>NC_000006.12:95525335-95676850 GCF_000001405.40 Homo sapiens
TTTGGCTAATTGTCCCAAAATCAAATTCTGAAATTCATGTAGTTTTATTCAATTTGGAAAGTATTATAACATCTGTTTAAGTTTTACTGTGGCCTAAAAATACTGATTTTTAGTTGTGCTACATTAAAATTTTCTGTACATCTTTTTTACTTCCTAATAAATTTTAGTTATTTTTAAAGGTCATAAAAGGTTTAATTGAGAACTCCATTTGAACTTGATATTAATACTCTTGTTTGGTTGCAAAGAGCAAAACTAAATGAGAACTATTTTAACTAAAATGAGGGTTTATAGAAAGAATAGTTTTCAAGTTGAATAAAAGTATATATGGAAATAATAAATGTTAGAGTTAATAAAAGACATGAGTTATATAGTTTTCTTCAAACATTTTATAAAATAATTTCAAATGAAATAAAGTACCCCATTCCTTCTCTCATGTTAACAAACATTTAAAATATGATAATACAAATGTAAACAAAAGTGCAAAGGAGGAAACTGAAATATAACTAGAAGAAATCCTTTGGAAGAAATTGAGCAACTCCTATACAAAACATCTAAGAGTGTATATGATATTGATCTGTTACTTCAGGCATAAGAAATCTATCTTTATAATATAACCCAAAGCATGAAAGTACTGCATACAAAAAAATTCATTCTTCCCAGGCAATGTATAGGTAATGAAACAGGAGAATAATTAAACAGTATTTTTTCCAAACTGTGTTCCATTGTATGCTAACATAGATTGTACGAATAAAGTGCTCTATGCCCAAGAATATTTAAAAGATTTTTTAACACAGGAGTCTTCACTCTAAACCTTCTTGGGACATTTTATACTCATATAAATTAGGAGTTCCCAAGAGGGATGTTTACTAAAAAATTTTACCCATAGGCCATTAAACGATGGTATATGTGAAGAACAACTAATTCTGTGGAAATTGCTTGTAATTCATTTTATGTTGGAAAAAGAAATGATGAGGGCTTGTAAGGCAAGACTGAAGTTATGTGAAAGAATAGGAATGTTGTTTTAGTGGCAAGGTAATTTGGATTTCACACAAAGATTCAATGAATTGTAATGAAGATCAATCAATATTTCTTTAGATTCAAGAGGTATAGAATTCAACACAGTTTCCGTCCCTCCCAGAGAGAAAACATAAGATCTTTCACATTTAAATAGATGCAGAGAACGATGTGTTCTGGAAGTGAATGTAAGTACATTGGTTCTCAAATTTCTCATATATCCAGACTCACTATTTGTCATTGTTGTACTGTAGTTATGACACAGGGTTATTTTTATTTTCTGTTTTGTTTTTTTTTCCGTTGTAAACCCACTTTGTCTCAGATTGGGGAGAAGGTAAGTAACAGGAGTAAAGGGTTTATCAAACTGTAAACGTTCTTTCTTCATCCACACTTTAGGACAACTGCAGGAGAAAGGCCCAGGTATCATTAAAACACAAAGAAATTTCTTTTTGAGGTGATGAAAATGTTGTAAAATTGTCTGTGGTGATGGTTGTATATATCCGTGAATATGCTAAAATCCTTTGGATCATACACTTTGAATTGTATAATATGTGAATTATATCTCAAGCTTTTAAAAATATGTAGCATGATAAGAGAACTAAACCTTAGGAATCAGTCATGGAGCTGTAAACAGAGAAATCTAGGCCTTGGGAAAAAAGTCACTGCTGCACTGAAAGTACGCATTTTACTCACTAGCTTGTTTACTGAAAAGCTAACTTTAAAATCACCCACTGACAAGATGTCTGCTCTAAATCAAAACGAGTTTTTTTCTCATTTGTTGGTCTTTTATTTGAAGCCAAAGAACATTACTGTGGATACACGTGGGCTATATTTACATAAAACTTTTGTCTTTAAATTCTACTAAAGTAACTTTATCATATTAAAATATGATATACTTTTAAAATACTTTTAATGGAGACTTTTTTAACTGTTACAATTGCTCTATACCACATGCTTCTCAGACAGTTTTTCTCTGGTATATCTAAAAGGCTCCAAACTGTTTCATGTTCTGAGGTATTTTATTTCATATATAACCTTTCTAAAAAATTCACAGTATACTTGGAATATCCTACTTCAACTAAGATGGGTTTCTATTATGTTGTTATTCTTCCTCTGTTTCATTA
This sequence comes from Homo sapiens, assembly GCF_000001405.40. Lineage (NCBI taxonomy): Eukaryota > Metazoa > Chordata > Mammalia > Primates > Hominidae > Homo > Homo sapiens. Next base: position 95,527,474 of record NC_000006.12, read on the forward strand.
AATATATCCTGAATCTTTTATCTGCAAATTTATAATCTTATCAGTCGGCAATTATATTCTTCTATTAGAAGGAATCCAACTTACCTGTAGGAAAATTGCATTCTGAAATGAAGAAAATGTATTTCATGATTTAAAAATATGAATCATTGTCCACATGAGACTCCAAGTTTTCAAATTCACTTAGAAGGAGCTGGCAGAAAATATGCTGAACTAAGATAAGTATTTTAGTGAGGAAATGATTTCATTTATTTAAATCTGTCATTAAATATACTAAGTTTTGTGAAATAACTACATAAAACCCCAGATTTCACAGTAATTAAGTCAGTCCATCTTTGACTCTTTGTCAAAGATAAATCAGCCTTTAATTATTAATAACTTGGCTCCCAAATTTAGCTGTACTTTACAATTTTTGGGCATCAAATCAATCACAGGACAAAACCAATGTAAAAGCATACATTTTTAAAAGATTTTATGATATAACTCTTTTTGGTTAAAGAGACACATTCTGAATCTTTGTTAAAATAAGAAAATTGAGTACTTATCTTAGAATTTAAAAATTACACAGATGTGTGTTCTGCCCATAGCAAAATGATTTTACAATCAGAAGAATATCCAGTGTCCTTAGAATGGTAGTTCTCATTAAAGAAAGATTGGGGCCTCCAAAATGCTAAAAAAAAGTCACTATAGGTTTATTTCATAGTTCTTTAGATGATCGTTTAGGTAAATCAATCTCAATCACCATAAGATTTTATTTGAATGTTCTAAATCCAGACCATCCAGGATTCACCCTTTCTGTGTCTGCATTCTTCGGTGATCTTCAGCCCTACTCAGTTTCATGCACACCTAGAAGAAATTCATTCTTTCAGCAACAGCATATTAAGACCACCTAAAAGATACAAAACACAGTAGCAGTAAACATGGCAGACAGTATAAAACAGATCTTATATTCTAAGGTGTGGGAGCATGGTAGACAGACAACTAACAGACTAACACATATACAACAGTGTGTCAGGTAGTGTTGTGAAGAAATCTTGAGAAAGTAAGGATAACAGAGAGTTTGTGTTCATGTGAGGAGGATTACTTCAGAGAGGATATCTCGGCGGGGGCATCTCTGAATGAAGTGAAAGTGTAAATTAGCAAAGAAGTGGGGAATACCATTCCAGGCGAGACAAGAAACAGCAAAAGCCTTGAGATGGCATTTTTCAATAACAAGAACTGCTGTCCAGCCAGAGAATAGTGATCTAAGAAGAGAAAGCTTAGGGAACATGGTGTATTATTGGCTAATTGTGACCCCTCAAAATTCATATGTTGAAATCCTAACTCCTAGTCTCTCAGAATGTGACTGTTTTTGGCAACAGGATGTTTAAAAGTAACTAAGGTAAAATAAGGTCATTAGAGTGGGCCATAATACAATATGACTGGTGTCCTTATAGGAGGAGATTTGTACACAAAAAGGCACAGGAGAAAGACAGTAATTTACAAGCCAAGGGGAGGCTTCAGAAAAAAATAACCCTGCTGACATTTTGATCTCATACTTCTAGTCTGTAGACCTGTGGTAAGCTTATGTTGTTTAAGCTACTCTCTCTGCTGTAATTGTTTATGGTAGCCCTAGCAAACTAATGCAAGGTTGAGGAAGTAGTCAAGAGTTAGATGAAGTGGGGCCTTGGGTTAGTATTTGGCTTTAATTTTGAGATAGATGGGAAATTATTGGATAGTATTCAGGAGGAAATGAGATTATTGAATTTCTTTTCAAAGACGTCCCAACAGGTGGGTAGGACATTTCATGGAAGAGAGTATACTCTAATAACAGCCTTCACACCACAACTAATGTGAGCATGGCCTCCATCTCAAAGGCACATCATCAGTCTCTGGACTTAGCTTTGACATTTGTGAGAGCCCAAAATAGTAGTAACCTTGGAAATGATTGAGAGAGGAATGAAGGAGAGAGAAGTATTTTTATATGCAAAAAGGCATAAAAATAAAAAAAATCCCAATTTTGAAATTATACACATACCTTGTCACATTGTGATTTTAGGATAATTAACAGAATCTGGGTAGTTTTATTAAAAGAGAGGCTTGAGAATATTGATATTAAAGAATTTTACTGAAAGTAATATTTTATTTGGAGTTTAATGTGAACTTAATTTATATTTTATAAAGTAAATTAATTGTTATACTATTAAAATACTATAATAATGTATCTTACTCTGAAAAAAGAATTCAACATTGATTAAAATCAAGTGTATTCTCACAAATAGAGTTTTTCAAAATGTGATAACAAGTCTTCAAAAAATCTTTTCTTTCTTTATTACATTTTTATTTGAACCTAAAAAGTCTCTTCACTAAAATACAAAAATTGGGGTCTATGTTAGAATATTTTAGTTTTGTTTATATTGAATTCAGCACATTAGAACTCTAGTAACTTCAAATAATTTACATCAGTATAAAGGAATGGTCATAGATACACAATGGATGGATTTACATATGCATTTCAATCTGGTATCAATTCATTCAAATCAGCAACGCATAAGAATAGCCAAAAAGAAAATGCTGCTGTGACTAAATGTAAGGTTCTTAAAATGGTAGTAGAAAAAATATGTACAATAATACTTAAACAGTATTTTATTTAAACCTATCAAATACCATTTTCAAGAAAATAGAAATAAATACACTTGTTTACAAGCATGTTTACTAGGCACAAAGAAATGCAAAATATAATTCAGTGTTATTTAATATGAGTTTTCATCAACAGGCACATTTCTCGAATAACTTCCTGGAAATGGCATTACTGTGTTAAAGCAAAAAAGTTGCAGGGGACAAGATCAGCAGACCAAAGTTGATTTTATTCCGATATTATTGACAGCAATAAGTGAGAGAGCACAGAGCAATTCTGGATACCCAGATCCAGCTCCATACCAAGATAAAGGGCTAGAGGGTTTTTTAGCACTGGAGTGACCTAGCAAAAAAGTTCTGGAAGACATTAATGGGGTAGTTGATCAATGAAATGTGTTGAGTACATTGAGTTATTCTTGAGTTTACAAATGGTTTTCTCTGGGCTTAGGCTATCTGTGTTTGCTAATTGGTGTCCACTTCTTCCCTCCCACAGATACTGAGAGATAGAAGCACTCTCTTCCTTAATGATTACATTTCAAAGGGCTGGTTACCAGGCCCTCTGGAAAAGCACTCCTAGGTTGTAAAATTGCAAGAGGCTGAGAGCGATTTACATACATTTAAAATTGGCAGAGAAAAAATACATACTTGCAAATTTTCTTGTCAATGCTCTAACAAAAGAGAAGATGGAGGCCTATAGTCAGTATGAAACCTGTCTAAAGTTTAGTCAAGCTGAGAGGAACATTAAGCCAGTTTAGGTCAACTGCAAGGTAGGTCACATTAAGCATTTTAGTTAAATTTATTTTTTAAAAAATTTTAGGATTAATGATTGTAGTTTTAGGTTTTAGTATGTCATTTTCTTAAAAGTAGGTATATCACATAATTTTACACCCTCCTCAATTCTTATATACAGCAACATGCAGAAGGAAATATTTTTAGTTAGGGAGAGTATGGGCTTCAGAAATTACCCTGACCCAAATCTGCCGCATAATAACTGTGTGACCTTCAGTACATGGTAACCTTCTTCTGTCTTGTAAAATGAAAACAATGATAGCCATCTTACACAATCTTTGGCTAAATCTAACAACATATTATTGTAAAACATCTAATATACTGACTAGCACAAATAAGACAGCTGTCAAATACCATTTCCCTCCTCCTAATGCCCATAAGATTGTTGGAATAAAGCTTAGAGTTCAAAAAAATAACAATCTTCTGATAGGAGGAAAATATCTGTATTCTCTACCATCTTTTTTCCCTTCAAACACATATAATATAACTCATATGACTGAATGTTTAGAACAAGGTTCTTGAAGTTGCCAGTTTGGGAATTCCATGACTTAGTGCACCAGTGGCTTCTGTGACCTTAATAGAACCTCTGGGCCAGTGCTCATTCATTTCTGAAATAGACACAATACTGGAAAACATCTTTATTTCACAAGGGTGCTTTTTGCACTACTGAAAAAAAAATCTTTTTAAGTTACACAAGATGAAAGTACTATTGTTATTAAATATGTGATGAATTGTTAGTAATTCATATTCTGTGATGTTGTAAGAATCAGTAGCTTCAGGAGGCAAACACTCTCAAGAGTCTTGGGCAGAAGAAACTGTATAATGGCAATTGAATTAGCTGCTAAATTGGAAATAAATCATTGAGAAAACCCAGTATCCCTTTGGAAACAGAAGAAGCTATTATATCTCAGTAGAATACTTATAACACTGGAAGAGAAGTTTAATATGATCTCATTTCTTGCCCATATCTGTAAGAGTCAAGTGCTTCACTGGGACATAGCCAAGACATTTTCTTTTATAGAGCAATGCACTGTCAAGGTATTTTTTAAATATTTAATCTAATATTTGCAGGACCTTTGTTCACATTAAGAAATTGATACATACTAATTAATTTTGTCACATACATATGAATATATTGCTAACCTGTGTGATCAGTAAATGTTTTAAAATTTGCAAATGGTAAAATAAATACTGAATAAAACCTCCCCAAAGTTCATAAGGTGTTTTTGTAAGTTGTAAAATTTCAGCCTGAGAAGAGATGAACTTTTTATTTAAGATAAAACAAATTTTGATAGGAAAATTCATATTTTAAATAAGACCAATACTTACTGGTGAGGAAACGAAGTTTATAATCTTTGCAGGAAGTTATAGTTAAAATACTGAATGCACTAATTATAAACATTCCTTTAAAGTTCTTCATGAAAACCCTGAAACTTGAAATCATAGCCATAAATCACCTCTTTCTAAACTCTCCTAGTGGATCCTGACTAGCAGCACTGAACAGCAGAAATTCCTTGTTTCATTGGTCAGATTTTTGTTAAATCACCAGGTTCTCTCTAAAATACTAGAAATATGAAGACAGGTTAGGTATGATTTTACTTCTTGATAAGGGGCCTACAGTCTAGATAAGAATAAAAGCCAAAGGAAATAGTTCAAATAAAATAATATAGCTGCTGTGATAGAAGTCTGTATACAACATAATGCAAACATAAAGAAGTCACTCTACCTGGCAGAGATAAAGGGAAGTAAACATTAATAAAGGAGGTGATATTAGATGTAAACTTTGCTAACGAGGTAGATGTTCTTAAGGTGGACAGGAACAGGAAATGGTAGGTCAGGTAGAGGAGTTGGAATGACCAAAATCATAGATGCATACAATTCTCCAGTAGATCTGAGAATTGTGCATGGGGAAACAGTTTTTGCTTGGGACCAAGACTCAAAGGGAGGGGAGGTAGCTTTTTAACTTGAGCAGATGCAAGCAGATGGTGGAAGAACAGATACGCCATAATGCCAGAGTTTCAGAACTGTGCACCGAGGCAACTCAGGATGCCAGAGAAGACAATCAGTAACACCATAGGATACATTCAATTTCAGGAGGAAACACAGCAATATCTGTGAAACAACATAAACACTACTTCTGTTAAGTTGCCAGAATCTAACTACTCAATAAATAAAACTGCTCAATATTTATTTTGGCTGAGAAGTGCTTTGAAGAATGGACTCCAAGAAGCAAGAAAGTTTGGAAATCATGGCCTGAATGGGTTTTTAAAAATAGGGAAATTCAGAAGAATTTTAAGTAGGGGAATAAAATGGGCAAATATGTATTAAGGGATGCTCATTCTGGCAGCAATGGGAGCATACATTAGAGATTTGCCATTTTGGATAAAATATGAGATGTCTAGTAGATGATGGGAATCAAAAATTAAAGGGACAACTGTTATTACTTAGGTGGCTCTCAATTTCCGTGTTTTCTTTTAATATGCTAGAGGTTTTTGGCAAGACTCTTGAAATTAGTAAGTTATATTCACATTTACTTAAGATCTTCATTTAGTCACATTTTATTCACTGTTTGGCTATTTGAGTAAAGCCATTTACAGTCTGACACAGAGCAGCAGTCTGGCAGAGAGCAACATTTTTGCATGTCCCAGTAATATGGCGCGTTTAAAGTACTAGGTTGGCATCACACTATACCTTTAACTTACTTTACAAAGAAAGTCAATATTCTACTAATTGAAAGCCAGTGATTTAGACCAATCAGACTAATGGAAACCACTCAGCACATATAACTCACACAATATCTTCACACTTAAGCAGAATTCCTGGTTACCCACATCCCAAAGCTTCCCTTGCTACTGAAGTCCTTATTTGTAATATCATTTTATGACTTCAGCAACCCAAGTCCTATATTAAAAGACAGCTGAAAATATGTTATGGTTAATATTTAGTGGGTTAAAATTTATTTCTATGAGCCAGGCACTCTTCTCAACATTTGGCATCCATTATTTTACTTATTCCCTACACCCATACCATGATGAAGATGCTATGATTAGTGTTCCCAATTTACACATAAAGAAACTGAAACACAAATTTAAGTGTCCCAGGTCACATGAATACAAAGGTGGATCTGAGACACAAGCAAGATTTTATGACTCCAGAGTCCATAGTCCTAACAACAACTCTATATCTCTTCCATGTGGGAGCAATAACTAAATTTTGTGTTTATTTGTAATTATTTATTTTAAACATTTTATGTGTACCTATTTGTAAAGTTCTCTTTGACTTAGATAAATTGAATAAAAGTGGTATTAACTTCATTGTAAGGAAAATGTAATTATGGAGACATATGTTAATAAAAAAATATAAGCCTGACTAGAGCAGTTAGAGGGAGATAACATTAAAAAGGCAGCTTCGCTAGCCGTGATACTTTCGTGCTCATGGCATAGTCCTTAAGTTTGTGAATGCAAGAAATGGGCTTTTCAATTCTTTTAGATTTACAAGGTCTTCAGGTGCTGGTTGACATTAATACAGTCATTAAGCACTGATGTTTAATTTCAAATGTTAACATGTGGACACTGACATACTAGACTAGTCACCAGAATTCTTGTGCCTACCAGTTGGGCACTTGATTATATCAAAGTGCTTGAAAGAAATATTTGAAAAATAAATCAAATGGTTGGAAAATCATACGATGATCATAAAGTTAGATCAAAGAAAAGCAGAAGGTCTTTAGAAGTAATTCATTCTTGCTATGATAAAGCTTAAATACTTATAACAAAGTATGTCCTTAAAACTGAGGTGATCAAGGGTGGGGAAAGTTTTTTTTAACTTTTATTTTAGGTGTAGGGGTACATGTCAAGGTTTGTTATATAAGTAAGCTGTGTGTCATGGGGGGTTGGCACACAGATTTTTTTGTCACTCAAGTAATAAGCATACTACCTGACAGATATTTATTCTGATCCTCTATATCCTCCCATCCTCCACCATAATTAGACCCCAGTGTCTATTGTTTCTGTCTTTGTGTCCCTGAGGTCTTACTATTTAGCTCTGACTTATAAATTAGAACACATGATATATTTGGTTTTCCATTTCTGCATTAGTTTGCTTAGGGTAATGACCTCTGGTTCCAACCATGTTAGTGCAAAAATTATTATCTCATTCTTTTTTATGGCTTCATTGTATTCTATGGTGCATATGCACCACATTTTCTTTATCCAGTCTACTATTGATGGAAATTTAGGTTGATTCCATGTCTTTGCTATTGTGAATAGTGCTGCAATGAACATATGTGTGCATGTGTCTCTACGATAGAATAATTTATATTCCTTTGGGTATATACCCAATAATGGGATTGCTGAATCGAATGGTAATTCTGTTTTAATTTCTTTGAGGAAATGCCACATTGCCTTCCACAATGGCTGAATTAATATACACTCCCACCAGCAGTGAATAAGCATTCCCTTTTCTCCTCCACCCCAGCAGTATCTGCTATTTTATGACTTTTTAGTAGTAGCCATTCTGACTGATGTGAGATGGTATCTCATGGTTTGGATTTGCATTTCTCTAATAATTAGTGATGTTGAGCATTTTTTAACATGCTTCTTGGGCACATGCATGTCTTCTTTTGAAAAGTGTCTACTTAGGTTCTTTGACTACTTTTTTATGGGATTGTTTTTTGCTTATAAATTTGTTTAAGTTCCTTATAGATTCTGTATATTAGACCTTTGTTGGATCCATAGTTTGCAAATATTTTTCCCATTCTGTAGGTTGTCTGTTTACTCTGTTGATAGTTTCTTTTGCTGTGCAGAAGGTCTTTGGTTTAACAGGTTCCCATTTGTCAATTTTTGGTTTTGTTGCAAATGCGTTTGGTGTCTTTGTTTTGAAATCCTTGCCAAGTCCTATGTCCAGAATGGCATTTCCTAGGGTACCTTTCAGAGTTTTTATAGTTTTAGGTTTTATGTTTAAGTCTTTAATCCATCTTGACTCGATTTTTGTATGCGATGTAAGGTAGGAGTCTAGTTTTAATCTTCTACAAATGGCTAGCCATTTATCCCAGCACCATTTATTTATTGAATGGGGGGTCGTTTCCCCATTGATTGATATTGTCAGCTTTGTCAAAGATCAGATGGCTGTAGGTGTGCAGCTCTATTTCTGGGCTCTCTGTTCTGTTCCATTGGTCTATGTGTTTGTTTACTGTACCATGCTGTTTTAGTTATTGTAGCCCTGTAGCATAGTTTGAAGTCAGGTAACGTGATACCCCAGCTTTGTTCATGTTGCTGAGGATCTCCTTGGCTATTTAGGCTCTTTTTTGGTTTCACATGAACTTTAAAACAGTTTTATTTTTTAATTATGTGACGAATATCATTCGTAGTTTGATGGAAATCGCATTGAATCTGTAAATTTCTTTGGGCTATGGTCATTTTAACAATATTGATTCTTCCTATCCATGAGCATGGAATGTCCTTCCATTCATTTGTTTCATTGTTTCATTATTTGACCAGTGTTCTGCAATTCTGCTTGTAGAGATCTTTCACCTCCCTGGCTTGCTGTGTTCCTATTTTATTATTTTCTGTCCCCATTGTGAAAGGGATTGCATTCCTGAATTGGCTGTCATCTTGTATGTTATTGGTGTATAGAAGTGCTATAGATTTTTGTATGTTAATTTTGTATTCTAAAACTTTGCTGAAGTTGTTTATCAGATCAAAGAACTTTGGGGCTGAGACTATGGGGTTGTCTAGGTGTGGAATCATGTTGTCTGTAAACAGGAATAGTTTGACTTCCTCTCTTCCTATTTGGTTGCCACTTATTTCTTTCTCTTGGCTGATTGCCCTGGCCAGGCTTCCAATACTATCTTGAATAGGAGTGGTGAGAGAGGGTATCCTTGTCTTGTGTCAGTTTTTAGGGTGAATGCTTCCAGCTTTTGCCCATTCAGTATTATGTTGGTGGTGCCGAAGCTGGAGCGCAGTGGCACAATCTTGGCTCACTGCAACCTCCACCTCCCGGGTTCCAGCAATTCTTCTGCCTCAGCTTCCCAAGTAGCTGGGTTACACGCGTGCACCACCACACTGGCTAATTTTTTATATTTTTAGTAGAAACGGGGTTTTACCATGTTGCCCAAGCTGATCTCAAACTCCTGACCTCAAATGATCTGCCCGCCTCAGCCTCCCAAAGTGCTGGGATTACAGGCTTGAGCCACTGTACCTGGCCTGTCATAAATAACTCTTATTATTTTGAATTATGTTCCTTCAATACCTAGTTTATTGAGGGTTCTTAACATGAAGGGATGTTGAATTTTATTGACAGCATTTCTTCATCTATTAAGATAATCATGTGGTTTTTGTTTTTAGTTCTGTTTACGTGACGAATCACATTCATTGATTTCTATATGTTGAGCCATCCTTGCTTCCCAGGGACAAACCCTACTTTATCATGGTGGATTAATTTTTTGATGTGTGCTGGATTTATTTTGCTAGTATTTTGTTGAGGATTTTGAAATATATATACATCAAATATATTAGCCTGAAGTCTTTTTATTGTTGTTGTTCTGTCTCTGCCTGGTTTTGGTATCAGAATAATGCTGGCCTCATAGAATAAATTGGGGAGGAGTCTCTTATCCTCAATTTTTTGGAGTAGTTTCAGTCAAAATGGTACGGGTTTTTCATTATACTTCTGGTAGAATTTGGCTGTGAATCTGTCTGAGCTTAGTTTTTTTCTTTTTTATTCGTAGGCATTTTATTACTAATTTGGATTTGGAAATTGTTATTTATCTGTTCCGGGTTTCAATTTCCTCCTGGTTCAATCTTGGGAGGCTGTTTTTGTCCTGGAATTTAAGCATTTCTTCTTAATTCTCTAGTTTGTGTGCATAGAGGTGTTCATAGTAGTCTCTGATTTTTTTTTTTTTTTTTTTTTGTATTTCTATGCAGTCAGCAGTAATGTCTTGTCATTTCTAATTGTCTTTATTTGAATATTCTCTTTCTTTTTCTTTATTAGTCTAGTGGGTGGCCTATCTATCTTATTGATTTTTTCCAAAGAACCAACTCCTAGATTCATTGATCTTTTGTATGGTTTTTCATGTCTCAATTTCCTTCTGTTCAGATCTGATTTTGGTTATTTCTTGTCTTCTACTAGCTTTGGGTTTGGTTTGCTCTTGCTTCTCTAGTTCTTCTCATTGTGATGTTAGCTTTTTAATTTGAAATCTTTCTAATTTTTTTCATACTGACGTTTAGTGATATAAACTTCCCTTTTACCACTGCCTCAGCTATGTCCCAAAGATTCTGGTATGTTGTACCTTTGCTCTCATTAGTTTCAAAGAATGTCTTCATTAATGACTTAATTTTATTATTTACCCAAAGGTATTTCAGGGGCAGCTGTTTAATTTCCATGTAATTGTATGGGTTTCAGTAATTTTCTTATTATTGATTTCTATTTTTATTGTTTTGTGGTCTGAGAGGGTGGTTGGTATGATTTCATTTTTTAAAAATTTGCTGAATATGATTTTATGTTGAATTGTGCAGTTGATTTTAGAGTATAAGCCATGTGGTGATAAGAAGAATGTAAATTCTGTTGTTTTTGTTGGAGTATTCTGCAGATGTCTATTAGGTCTATTTGGTCAAACATTGAGTTCAGGAGTTCAGGTCCTGAATATCTTTGTTAATTTCCTGCCTCAATAATCTGTCTAATACTGTCAGTGGGGTGTTGAAACCTTCCACTATTATTGTGTGGGAATGTAAGTCTCTTTGTAGATCTCTAAGAACTTTCTTCATGAATCTAGGTGTTCCTGTTTTGGGTGCCTACATATTTAGGATAGTTAGGTGTTCTGGTTGAATTGAACCCTTTATCATTATAAAATGCCCTTCTTTGTATTTTTTGATCATTGGTGGTTTAGTTTGTTTTGTCTGAAATTAAAACTACAACCCCTGCTTTTTTTCTGTTTTCCATTTGCTCGGTAGATTTTTCTTCATCTTGTTATTTTGACCCTATAGAAGCCATTGCATAGCAGATGGGTCTCTTGAAGACAGTATACCATTGGATCATGTTCCTTTATCCAGCTTGCCATGCTGTGCCTTTTAATTAAAGCATTTAGCCCTTTTACATTCAAGGTTAGCATTGATAGGTGCAGATTTGATCTAGTCATTGTGTTGTTAGCTGGTTATTATGCAGTCTTTTTTTGTGTGGTTGGCTTATAGTATCACTGGTCTGTGTACTTAAGTGTATTTTTGCAGTGGCTGGTAATGATGTTCCTTTCCATATTTAGTGTTCTTTTCCTCATGTAAGGCAGGTTTGGCAGTACTTATTTCCCTCAGCATTTTCTTGTTTGACAATAATCTTATTTCTCCTTCATTTACAAAGCTTAGTTTGGCTGGATATGAAATTCTTGGTTTGAAATTTTTTTCTTTAAAAATGCTGAATATAGGCCCCCAATCTCTTCTGGCTTGTAGGGTTTCTGCTGGAAAGTCCACTGTTAGCCTGATGAGCTTCCCTTTGTAGGTGACCTGCCCCTTCTCTCTGGCTGCCATTAAAATTTTTTCTTTCCTTTTCACCTTGGAGAATCTAATGATTATGTGTCTTGGGGATGGTCTCCTTGTGTAGTATCTTGCAGAGGTTCTCTGCATATCCTGAATTTGAATGTTGGCCTCCCTAGGGAAGGTTTAAGGTGAAAGTGGGTGATTGTAAAGAAAGGAGAAAACTTGATAAAGAACAAGGGAAAAGAGGAAATGCAAATTTGGAAACACAAATATTTTTAAATACCTATTTATCTACTAATTAATAGATAGGAATACAGAGATTATGAGTGACAACTACAAGAAAGGATTTAGGACTGGTTATATAGTGAATAGATGTTTTCTTGAGAGCATTGATAGATTTTTGTGTTTAGCTATAAAGGGGAGAAGTATTTGGAGGTTTTCAACCATAGATACATTTGCGAGGCTTTTAAAAAATTACTACCACTTAATGAATCTTACCCTGTGGCAGTGAGTAAGTGAATACTTTGAATATATTAGTAAAAAGATAACTTTTCATATATTAGCTCATACAATTTAACTATTTTTGGCATAGCATTTGTTAGAAATAGAAAACTTTTGTAATAAAGAACAAAAGCTCTTTATAAAAATTATTGTTATAAAAACTAAATGGAGACTTTTTTAAGTGTAAAGTTATTTCTGTTTTGGGGAGAAATAAATACCAAAGAACCACAGCTACAGTTCCAGGTTCAAGGTGGCAAGCCGACTCCTAAGACAGAGATCAGCTTTAATCTATTGCTACATTTGTTTATTTTTTGACAGGATACAGGCAGAAACTATAGCAACTAGAGCATCTTCAACTTATCTTTTTCTTGCTCAGCAACTTCCAAGTACACAGGTTGTCTGCCTCACTACATGGATATTTAGTTTCCATGGATGAGAGTCAAGATGTGTGTAGATCACCTTGACAGGTAAAAGCAACAGGCTGTGCTTTCCAGTAATCCTTTGTGCTGTTCAAGTCTATAGGCCCAAACATGCATGCCCACTTGTAGCTCTCCTAACCCAGAGCTGACTTCATTCAACATACAGAAATACCATTTCTCATTTTTGTTGCTTCATTCCTCCCAAAACAAGAGTGCTATGGGAAACTGAGGTCACTCTCCGAGAAGTCCATATCAGACCAGGCTAATGTTAAATTCTTACTTACAGTTTCATCTCCATGACCTCAAGTCAATGTTTCACAAAACATACTCCTTAAATGTTCCTTGGTATTTTTTCTGATAGGCACATCTCTAATATTTTGTACACAGGAAAAAACAAACTACTACACTTGTGACCACCAAGTTTGTACTGTTAGTATAGTTATCTTCTTCCCAAAACATGTTCATCTTAACCGACATACTAGACAAGTCTTTTGATGCCTTATTAGTGAATTACAGTCTCCCTCTCACTCAATATCACATATATCTTTTAAAAGTTTTTAGGGACACTTAGACGTGTGTTTAGTTTCTCTAAGGACAATTAGTTTCTATGGGGTTATCATCAAGTGGGGATCTCAAATCAGTTTCTCAAAATATCTTTTGATCCTGAGGGGTCATGATCATTATACATTTTATTTCCTTTAATTTCCATATATGAGGCCATAAAATACTTTATTATACCAAATAGCAGTAGATGAGAGATTAAAGTAATGCTTAGCACACAAACTACTTGTTAACATTACAGCAGATAGCAGCAGATATTAAAGTAATACATAGCACACCAAACACTTATTTTTATTACAGTATAATTTCCTCATCCTTCCCAACAGAACTATCTCTTGCCCATATGCCATACATTTTCAATGACAGGAATAGTCACTAGAATATTCAGTAAATCCAGAATTCTTTCTGTCCTGGGGGCCTAATCATACCTCTGCTATGAAGAAGCAGGATTTTATTGACACTGGTTCCCACATATAAAAGTAGAGCACAACCAATTCACCCTATAGAGAGGACACAGTGTTGGTCTTTTGATGGCCACTAACTGCATCACAGGAAATGCTGGCTCTTTTTAAATTCATGGTGTATATATTGTAAGGGAACGATAACAGGATCACTTGTTCCAGTGACATCCTGCTATAGTTCAGGTGGTCCTTACCATTTTAATATTGCATCTGTCCGGCTTGGACTTCTAAAGCACTCAGGCATTTTCCTTTAAACACAATAGAAATAAAGTGTAGCAGAGAGCACTTCCTGGATGAGCATACAGGCCCTCTCCCATAGGTTTTGTACAGGATAATGTCCCAAATGACTTTTCTTCCCTCCAGATAAAAATAAAGCCTCACCAAATCCTTTTCCCACTCTTATAAATAGATGATAGGTTTGCAAAGGTAAAAGATAACAGGTCCTCCTCTACCACTAGGCAATAAAGCAGCACTTAGGGTCAGTCCTACCTTGGTCACACTGGGCAAAATAACTGTCTACATGTCCTTAGGAAAACATATACCCAAGTGCAAAGGAATAAAGTATCTTAAGTAGTATGCTCCCTTTCGTTGGAAGAAGGGCAAATGCAATGTTTGTCTAATGCACTTGATCTGATAACAGAAAAGGAAAGGTTTGTAAGGTATGAAAGACGAAGATTTATGTCACAGTATCATTTCCCAACCCTTTATTCCTGGTACACAAAAAGCTTTCTTAAGGCTGTTCCGCCCTCAATGTCTCCCATGTTTAGGTGAAGCACATACCCCCTTATAAGCTTCCCAGCCAGCCCTTCTTATCCTTCACTTCCTTAGCATCCTCTGTCTTTCAAAATGAATGTTTTAGTTGACTATTCCAATTTTTAATTAAGCCACTCCTATGTGGCTGGTAGGAGTATATGTCCATTACATATGGTTCTTTTTGTCTCATTTTGGAAACTTGGCCATGGTGAAATTCATTCCCTATGAAATATAGTGGGGGGACTCAAAACACTCATCTATCCCCAGAAAGACTCATTGGAATACTCCAGGAGTAATGAACTGGGTTCAGTATAATCCATCTGCCAGTGATGTGCTTGCCATTGACCTCAGGGAATTCTCTCCAGTGCCATTTTTGGACTTTTTTTTCTTCTTGATCGCATTCAGGACAGCCTGTCACAATAGTAATGGCTTTTCTGGGTAGCACTGGTCTATGCCATTGCTTCCAATTGTCGTGGCATGGCTTGAGCACCACTGTGACAGCTCATCTCATACACTCAACTGATTTTCTCCTTTGGGAGACCAGGGCATCTACTTTGGCTTTCTAGCGCTCCTCTGAGACACTACTGGCTGTTCTTTGTAGGCATCTAGAAATGTGCTTCTCCCCAGGAGTTTCCATAAAGACTTCCACAATTGCATCTCTTCACATGAAGATAATCTTGTGTATCTATGTATCAAGGAAGCATTTGCCTGTCTGACACTGCAACACAGTCCTAGGGAAAGCCCAGGAGGCTTTAATATTTAGACACAAGCCTGAGGCCAAGAACCAAGTTCTTCCTGAACCATTAACATATAACATATACTGACCTCTATTCAGGCCACTGTGTATGCTTATCATTGTGTCTTCAGCTCAGATTTTTACAGTACATTGGAGGTTAGCTGTAGCCTTCCATATAGAGTCCCATCATTCAGTGCAAGGACTCTCATTAGCAAATAAGTCAGATATTTTGTCTCAGCAGGGTTCAGAACCTTTGGCAATAAGAGTGGGTAGCTCCTCCAGAGTGCCACTGTAGAGGCAGAGATGTTACCTGCTCATGGATAGAGTGCATTTCCTCAGAGTCTATCTTTTTTAGCATGTTCCCAAATATATTTTATCAGTCCGTTCTCACACTGCTAATAAAGACACACCCAAGACTGGATAATTTATAAAGAAAAGAGGTTTAATTTTTCAGCATGGCTGACAAGGCATCAGGAAACTTAAAATCATGGTGGCAGGAAGGAGAAGAATGAGAGCCAAGTGAAGAGGGAAGTCCCTTATAAAACCACCAGATCTATAAGAACTTACTATCATGAGAATAGCATAGGGAAACTGCTATCATGATTCAGTTATCTCCCACTGGGTCCCTCCCACGACATGTAGAAATTATGAGAAAGTATGTGGAAGTTATGGGAGCCACAATTCAAGATGGGATTTGTGTGGGGATACAGCCAAACTGTATCATATATCATTCATATTTTACCAGGGAACTTGTTGTACAACTCCCTTTCTATTGGAATCTCTTTTTATATCACCCATGAGACTGTAGATAACTCAAGCCTCAAGTCACCATAGGTAATGCAATGTAATCTGATGCTCTTTGGGTATGAGGGCTGTTTCTTACTAGAGCCAAAAAGCATGCTAATGCCTGTATCTCAAATAGGCTGTTCTCAGACACAATATCATGAATTTTTTTTAGTCCAGAACTCCTGCAACCACCTATAAGTAGCATTCTAAGGCTTTGGCTAGGGACTCCAGTCTATGTGTATTTTAGTAGTGGACTTCTCTAAAACTGCTGGTTGTATCAGGATTATAAAATCCCAAAAAGACAGCTTGGCCTACCCTCTGCTCTGGATATCATTCAAATCCATTGCTTTTTCTAGTCACTTTGTATATCGGGGCCAACAGGATTTCCAAATATGGCATATGTGTCCTAGAATCCAAACAACTCTTTGAGAGTTTGTGCCTCTCTTGCTAGTAAAAATGGGTCAGGACAATTTGTTCTTTACTGTGTGTGAAGTGCCTCTAGTGGCCAGAGTATTCCTAGAGAAAAGACTGACCAATCTGGGTCCTGAATCTTAATCAGATTTTTTAGACATCCTTATCTAGTCCTATTGCAGCTATTGTTTGTAAATCCTCCTTGCCTCCATTCTCAGCTTACTTTCTGAGAGGGGAGGTATCATCGTATCATCAGCTTCATGAATCAATGGGCTTTCAGAAATGAAGAGACTCAAATCTTGTCTTATAGGGCAGTAGCTAAATCCTGGAGAATGTGCATAACCTTAGAGGAAGATAGTAAAGTATATGTAATGAAATATCTCTCATGCAGATAAAAATGATGCTTGGCATTTTTTCCAGATTCTATTATCAAAGCACATTCCCTGCCGAACCTCCTGGTAGTTTTTAATCATGTCTGGCATAACAGAGACTTTGGGGAAAATTGTTTCACTTAATTCTGCATTTTCTCACAGGACAGACAGGACTAACGTGAAGAGAATTGATGGGGATGAGCACAACTGTTTCCACGACCTCTTTAATCATGACTGAGATTTCCTGCTACTTTCCTGGAAAATGATGCAGTTTAGTATTTACTACAGAAAAGGGCAATTGTAAAGCCTCCCACTTAACAGATCTGATAAAAACCTGGCAAAGGGCAAATCCCTAGCATTCAGCTATAGACCACTAAGAAGGGCAAGACCTTCTGCTTTTGCTTCATAACCTTTCCAGTTATTCATTCAAGCAGAGAATAGCAGCACTATTCTTATCTATTTCCACTATTTCCTTATCATGTTCCTCTCTGGTGCTCTACTAGGGCCTTGGAGTCTTCCCTCACAGTATCTCCTTCCCACCCCAGCCCTTAGCTTCCTCTTTGGCTTCTTAACATTGTGTTTTTGCTCCCTACATGTATTATAGTACTTTATGTACCGATATTCAATTGTCTCAAAATGTTTTGTTCACCAACCCTAGGATATTCGACTTTAACCAAAGCACATGGTCTTTGAACTGATCTGTGGGATAGGACAAAATATCCTAGCCTTCAAGTTAATCTTTATTGGTTTCTACTGTTTCTACCAATGGTGTTTATTTAGCACACTTTTTATTCAGCACTTTTCTTAGCACAAAGTTTATTCACAACTTTTGTTCTTACAGCATCATTGGATTTTTTAGTAGTGGACTTCTCTAAAACTACTGGTAATGTCAGGTTTATAAAACATAATACCAAAGGGACAGCTTGACTTGCCTTCTTCTCTGGATCTCATTCAAATCCATTTCTTTTTCTAGTCTCTTTGTATACTGGGGCCAACGTATGTGTCCTCCAGAATCCAAACAGCCCTTTGAGCCTTTGTGCCTCTTTTACTAGTAAAAACGAGTCAGGACAATTTGTTCTTTACTGTTTGTGAAATGCTTCTAGTGGCCCTAGGCCAGATTATTCCCAGAGAAAGGACTGACTAATCTGGGTTAAACTCACACAGATTGGCTTAAAGGGATCATATCTCATGGGATTCATTAAGGAAGGCAGCTGGCAGATACGGAGCAAATGTTCCTTTTCCCAACTGGTGATAATGAGCCAGTAAATCTTTTCAGATAATTCAATAAATTTCTTATCTTTTCATCTTGTGTCTTAACAATAAATTTCTTATCTTTTCATCCTGTGTCTTAACAGCCACCTAATGACAGCTGTATCTGATTCACCCTTTTCTTATATCTTTAACTGCCCCCTCCCCTTGCCTTTCTTTGACTATCCATTTTAACGGTTTCCTAGGAGATAAATCTAGGTAACTCAGCCATCCAGGCATGAAATGTTCATCAAAATCTGCTCCCCAACCCTATCCTGTCCTATTTCCTGCATCACAATGATTTGACTCAAGGGCCTGAAAGCCAAGGCTACTTCTGACACCATTGTCTAGCACAGCATTTGTCTTCGGCTAGCAAGCTGAGTCAGGAGACACAGGCAAGCTTTAATATAATACTGTTTACTTAGCATTATAGAAGGAAATAGGCAATACATGAAACAGGTGTACCATCTTCATCTCATCATCACCTCATCTCAGCAGCTACCCAAGTACAAAAAAGTAGTAAAAAAAAAAAAAAAGATTTCCTTTACATCCTCACACACATATGTATGCATGGCTGCCACAAATGATTGCCAAGATGTGTGTGCAACCTTGAAACATGGAAGCTACAGCCTCTATTTCCCACCAACTTTTTATACCATAGTTATCCCACAGGCTCAAAGCCCATGTGCATGAAAACTCACAGCCCCTCTAACCTGAGGCAGATGTTGTGTTCCGCAAAACAAATGAGCCAGTCAAAACATTCCTCATTTGTCTTAAAACTACTGTTTCCATGGAAACAGTCCTATGAGAATCTAAGATCTTTCTGAAGCAGTCTTGATATGCAGGCTTAATAGTAACTCTTCATTCACAAAAGCTTTATACATACATATGTATGTATGTATGTATCTATATATGTGGTTAAAGGTGATGTGTTAATCACCTTTTTAAAATATCTGTATTTATATATTGTTTTCATTTACCACTATCCTTTTGTCTAACCATTTCTAATTTATGAAACACAACACAAACAGAAAGGTGCACAAAATATTAAATACAGTAAAATATAGTATGTATATATAAATCATCATGCATCCATCCCCCAGATTGAGAAACTGAACACTGTCATCACCTCCAAAGCCTCCAGGCTGTTACTTCCCAAACTAAGACTCCTCAATATTCCTTAGTCTTGTGCCTGTCTTTAACTTTTATAATAATCACAACTACATATTGTTTCAGTTTTATCACTAAGTACACATTGCTAAACAATACAGTTGGGTCTTTCCTATTTCAAATTTTTTATAAATACTACCTACTGATTTGTGTGTTTTTGATTTTTTTTTTTGCTCAACATTCTCTAAGATTGTGCAGTGGCCATTTGCTTTTCATTACTATGCAGTATTCTATTATATAAAAATGTCACAATTTATTTAATTCAGTCTCTTATTAATGGTTATTTGTTTTATTTCAAGTTAGGGTAACACAAAGAGTGCTCCTTATAATATTCTTTGCATTTCTTTAATGCAAGCATTATCACTTTTGTTTTGTTTTGTTTTTGTTTGTTTGTTTTAAACAAATAGAGTAATGGATAAAGAGAGAAAATGTCATTTACTTAATATCATGATGCTGGTAGAATTGGACTTTAAACCTAATTCTGAAGTCTCTGTGACTCCAGAGTCCATGTTCTCAATTTCTTCAATAGTTCTTGTAATAAGAAGCACGTTTTAATGAAAATAGTGACAATTGAGATGAAGACAATTGACAAATTCAACCAGTTCTAAGAATACAGATTCAATATGATTTTGTGATTGAGGCAGTTGCTGAAGGAGATGGAAAAATCAATAGTAACATTGATTAAGCACCTGGCTTGAGTAAGTGATTGGTGGTGTCATTTAGTGAAATACTAAATACAGAAAAATGACCAGGGTTGGCAGATCAGGAATTTAGATGGACTTGAACACACTGCATTTCGTACCTGCAAGACACCACTTGACTAATAGTAATAGCTAGCATTATTGAAAACTAGCAATATGCCAGGAATTGTTCTGAAGTATTTACATGCATTAATTTGATTCTCACAACAAACCTATGAGGCAGATCCTATTATTGTGTCCATTTTATAGATGAGGAAAGAAAACTGAGGGAAACAAAAGCTTAGTAGAACCTCAATGTTACAAAGCTAGTAAATGAGATGTTTACTTAAGCAGCCACTTCTAAAATTCATATTCTTAAGCATAAAATATGTAAAGTCTTTTGATAAAATGTCATGGGCAATAGGGAGTGAGCTATACAGAGGCTGAAGCTTAGGTAAGAGATCTGGGCTGGAATATAAATCTGAAAGTATTTACATGTCATTGAATATATGTAATTATTAATGTAATATATGTAATCAATTACATCATTAATTATGAGCCATAGGTGATTTTGCCCCCTAGGAGACATTTGGCAGTGTTTGAAGACATTTTGTTTGTCATAACTGGGGTGGGTGCTAATAGTATCTAGTCTGGGGGGTGGGGCAGGGAATTTGCTAAACATCCTACAATGCACATGATTGGCCCTCACCACAAGAAATTATCCTGTTCAAAATGTTAAATTGAGAAACCCTGTCCTACACAGATTAATCATTGGATGGAGGCCCACCTAGGAAGGAAGAGTGATGCGGACTAGGAAACTCTTCAGCTGAGACTTGTCTACTGACAGCACTTACAGCAGCTCTGGTAATAAGTTCTTTATTCCTAACTAGGAATGTATCAGTGTGTCACAGCATCTGTCATGATTATGGAAGGGAGATAAAGAAACACAGCCAGATGGGTCCCTGACGCAGGGGGAACCCTGCTTTCAACCACCTGCTGGGTTCAACAGTGTATGAAGTCATGCCTTTCCATTTCCTGCAATTCTGATGCTTTGACATCTCAGGGTTTTGCTGATCCTGGAAAGCCTACCCCTTCCAGGACTAGCCATCTCCTGGCTCCTATGTAGCCATATCCTACATAGTAAATGACTGGCCCAGGACTGTGAGATTCATATGCAAACCAACAATGCAGAGCTTTCACACCCCACAACCTCCTCTAGGAGGCTGTCACACTCAGGGCCACTATGCGCTGCCCTAATCACTCCAGAGTCAAATACTAGACAACTAGGGACAGTTCCTATACCCCAGAGTCTGCTGGGATTATTTAAACAAGCCAATTCTAAACCTGTTTACCTTGCTGCAGAAACCAAAATAAAGGCTCTTGCTCACGCTCTCCATCACCCCTCAAATCCTTCTGCCTCCTGACTGAATCTGGTGCTTCCCAGCATGGCCTTGTGTGGCATGGCATACCCCTTCCTCTTGGGAACAAACTGTCTATACAATGGCCAGTGTCTCCTGATTTTTGGCGTCACAATACCTGAATAATAATGAAACCTACATTTTAAACTGACTAGGTTGTTTGAATGATTAATTTATTTCTGTTGGGGTTTTATTTGTACGTATGTCTTTTATTTCTTCTTTTTGTATTGAAAGCATTTAAAAACTCTCTGCACGAGATTTGGTGGTCGAGTGGGTGCTATATTTACTATATTAATGCAAATTTTCATTTTTTAAAAATCTGTTTAATCTCCATGATAAAAAGTATATCCACACATGGTATTTGTTATAAACATTATAGATGCACTGTCATTGTCTTATTCACTATCTACCTATTGCTAATACATTCCACCTCTCTGATTTTGAGTCAGATAGTTTATGCGCATAAAGCTTCTACCAAATATTTAATGAAGTATTGTCATTTGTATTGCTTTGTAAAGAATCTGTAATCCCCTTTGATCTGTGTTAATGAGTCATGCATTGTTTATTTCCAAATAATTACTTTTTAACTTTAGCTATTAATGGCTATTTTGTATTGTGATCTAATAACATGGCGTGTACAACTTCAGCTTTTCTTTTTGTAACTGATTTAACATTTTTCTGGCCTATTAGATGACCAGTTTTTACAAAAGATCCATTGGCTTTTAAAATAAAGTGTATATTCTGTTTATTTGGAATATACTTGATCTCTTTATTTTAAAAATCTATAAATTAGAATAGTATATAGCCTTTACTTTTTTACTTTTTTCTTACATGAGTATTCAAAACCTGGGAGATGTTTCTTCAAAGCTAAATTTTTTTCTTTTCTAACTTCATTTTGTAAAATTGTATAGCACAGCTTTTACTTTAAGTATTTTGTAGCTATGTTATTTTTCATATAAAGGTTTATGATTCTAATATCTTCATTGTGGATATATCATTTTTAAACATAAAACTGAAGTCTTTTATAATTTATGATGACTTCTTTGCCTCAAAATCTGATACAGCTGATTTTAATGTTATGATCTTTCTTTTGTTTGCCTTTAGATGATGTATCTATGCCAGTCTCTTTTTCTATTTTTCTTTTCTTCCTTTTTTTTACCTCTCTAGGTCATATTCCCTTAGGTACGTCCCTTGGAAACCACATATAATTGGACTGATCTTTAATAGAACAGTTTAACCCATTCAAATTCAAAACTTTTAAGTTGTTATATCTGAAAACTTTGTTCATTTGCCCTTTCAATTTTAACTTAAAAAACGCTTCTTTACTGTCTTTTTCTTATCTGGATCCTTATGGAATACAATGTTCTCACCTTTATTGCTAACGCTTCATATAATATATATCTTATTTTAAAATTTTACAGATACATAAAAGTTAAAAATAAATTCCAATGATCAATTTCGCAAACCAAATAATGCTTTGATACCACCTGATAGAATTCTGAATATTAGTATTATTTTACTTTGCTTCCTTTAGCTCTCATTCACCTCTCAGTTGGGTGAAACGAGGTTTTTATAATCAGAAATTTGAGATGTAGATTATTATGGTCATTTTCACATGTTATATATTCTATCTTATGAATTTCCTTTGTATTTTGTTTCAAAACCTATTTAGAATATTTAGTTCAATTTATTTGATTTCACCATTTATAATGTCTAACACTGAGCATTCTTTAGTCTTTTATGTGAATTAATCTCTTAGCTGTATATATGTACATCTTTCAGTAATTTTTTCCTCATGGAGAGAGTTCTTGTTATTATATCTGTCACTTCAATTTTTACCTTCCTCCTTTCAATTAACATCCTTCTTTTGTCAATCTGTTGATATTTCATCTTGTATTTTCTTTTTGTACCAGAGACCATATTTTAAAAATTGTACTAACGACACAAGCAGATGCTTTAAAAAATGTGCTTTAAATTTCTGATAATAAACCTTTTCCAAGGTATGTCCTTGCAGCTTAAATGCTGCTATATTTCTTTTATGTAGCATTTGCCAATATACTCACATATCTTTTATATCTGCTTATCCTGATGAGGAAAATATATATCCAAACAAGATATTTTTCCATAAACATTGTGGGTGAAATTATAGACCATCTGACTCTATTACAACCTCCCCTCACATGGATTTTGAGCCAGAGAGTTTATGGACCTGCAGAGTCTCTATCAAAATTTCTTATGTCCAGAAGACATTTATCTTTTTTGGCTGTCTGGTAGTCTTTTGAAAAGGATAATTCATAGTTCGATGATTGGAAATATTCTCTGGCTCTTCAGATACGCTGAGAGGGAAATGGGAGCAATCAGAATACAGGGCTTTGCAGCTCTTTCAACCACAGTACCTTCTACTGCTGCTGCCACATGCCTCAGCAGAGAGCACCAGTTGCCTTCCATGTCTGTCATTGGCAGGAATAAAACAATGATCATTTTATTTCTTAAATGAACAGAAAGAGCCACAGATGGGACAAACTGGATGATATGGTGGTCTTAAACGTTTTAGAAAACAGCTCCTTCCACAATATTAGAGGATTAAAAGGTTAGTGTTGTGGTTAGTACAGACATTGGGCATTGAGGCAAGAAACTGTCTGTGGCAGAACAATGCAGACTAATGATCTGTAGGTTTACTCTTTTAATATTCCTCAAGAGACATAATAAGTGTCAGTATCACCCATTAATTGAAGTTTTTTCTTTCAGTATTTTTCACTTGTAGGTGTCTGTCTATCCTCTGCTCCCTGTTCTCTAACAGCTGGGGTTTCCTAACCCCCATCCAGAGCCCTGTAGGTTCTAGGGCAAGATTTACCTAGATAGTTTTCTCTAGTCCAACCATCTGACACTGAGCTTTGTCATCTGTGCCACTGGTCTTGCTGTTGTTTTGAAATTTGTCTTGCCTTCATTCTCACATGAAGCTCTGAAGAACTGGGCCCCTGCCTTTCCCTCTGTGGATTCAATTCCCTCTCTTGGTTAGTTTCCCAATACTTTAGGTCCTCTGGGTTTACCCACGCTTGCGACAAAGAGAGGGATTGTAGTCTTGCCTTGACATTCAAAGCCTGTTGCCTGGTCTGAGGGGGACTTTCAGATGCCACCTGTCTGTCTGTCTTCTTGCCTGCCTCTCTGCCTCCCATCCAGGATTGCTAAATGCATCCCTAACAGCACGCTTTGTCTCTGACACCACAGCTTCCAAAACTAACATCTATTGTGATTCCTTTTCAACACTGTACTCTATGTCCTGAAATGCACTTTTCCTAACTCCTGGCAGCAAGTTCTATTTCACCACTATGGTTAGGCTCATCTCTAGGTCAAGGTTCCTCTAGGGTTATTCAAACCCGTTGTTCAGCCATACATGGTCATATTAAAAATAAGAAAACTCCAGATAGGTCAGTATTCTTATCTCTGGGTTATACTAGGTCCTTCTCGTTCCAGCCACCATACAACCAACTGATCACTGATTTAGGTGGTTTCTCATGCAAAATTTTTTTTTTTTTTTTTGAGACAGTCTCACTCTGTCGCCCAGGCTGGAGGGCAGTGGCACAATCTCAGCTCACGGCAACCTCTGCCTCCCGGGTTCAAGCAATTCTTCTGCCTCAGTCTCCTGCGTGGCTGGGATTACAGGCGCCCGCCGCCACACCCAGCTAATTTTTGTATTTTTGTAGAGATGGGGTTTCACCATGTTGCCCAGGCTGGTCTTGAACTCCTGACCTCAGGTGAGCCCTCTCAAAGTGCTAGGATTACAGGCGTGAGCCACCATGCCTGGCCACAAAATGTATTTTATAGTTGACCAATTTTCATGAACTTCACTAGAAGACCCTACATCAAGTCACTGTTATCCTTTACCTAGGATAAAAATGCTTCCAATGTTCTCCCTGTTTATTCCTGCTCCTGCCTCATTCCTTCTCCATAGGGCAGTCAAAAAATCCAGTCACTCCTCTGTTTAAAGCCCTTAAGGGACTTCCCACTTCTTTCACTTATTATTTAAAAAAAAAATTTGTTTAGACAGGTTCTCACTCTGTTGCCCAGGCTGGAGTGCAGTGATGCAAACACAGCTAACGGCTGCCTCGATCTCTTTGGCTTAAGCAATCCTCCTGCCTCAGCCTCCCAATTAGCTGGGACCACAGCCACCACCATGCCTGGCTAATTTTTACAAAAATTTTTGTAAAGACGGGAACTTGTTATGTTGCCCAGGCTGATCTTGAACTCCTAAGCTCAAGAGATCCTCCTGCCTGGGCCTCCCAAACTGCTGGAATCACAGGCATGAGCCACCATGCCTGGCCTCACATATTCTTTAAGCTTATGCTGTCACTCATCTTCATCTTCAGCTTCTTTCCCAGCTACTTTCTCTCTTATGCTCTATCCACACTGGACTGCTTTCAAGATTTTTATTTACATTCTCTTCTGTCTGGATTGCTTTCAATTCTTGTGGGCAAATGTTAACAAATTTATCCTTTATCCTCCTCAAATGGCATACCCTCTAAGAGGTTCCTTACTGATTTCCTTATTAGATTACTCTATTAGCACCCTGCAGATTAGATTCTCTGAGAGCACCCTATACTTTTTGTTGGCAGCATTAACTTTTTGAATAATGTATTTGTTTGAATATCTGTTTCATGTTTGTTTCTGATATTATCCTGTAAACTTCATGATGATGTCTGTTTAGCACATCACTTCTTGACTAGGGTCTACCAGTATCTTGAATGAACAGAGACTCAAGCATATTTGCTCAATAAAGAAAAATTGGGGTGAACATGAAGTGGAAATAAAATGTTAGCAATTTACCAATAATATTAAATATTTCTTATTAATTATATGTCTAGTGACAATATTAGGTATTCTGTGAAAATAGTGTTAGTTTGTGAGGAAATCTATCAATATTTACTTCACATGCAAGAAAAGGGAGAGGGCGTAGAATAGTTTAGTGAAAGGGAACAATATAATAACAAGTTGTAGGCCTGTGAAGAGAGTCTCATTTCTGAAGATATGCCAGAGTTCTTTGAAATATTTCTTAATTGTTCATATGAATATTTATCTGAGGCTGGAAGGGTGCAACTATTATTTTTTATTCCTTTAGAGCTAACAGTGAAATGATTTTTTTTTCAAAATTCATGTAGGAAGTAAGAATATAAATGAAATTTCTTAACTTTCCATCCTAAGTTTTGTCTGCAAAACTGCTGATAAAGCAGGTTCCTGCACCCTCCACCCTCACCCTATTCTGTGCACCTAACTCTCCATTTAACTCTCATCATGTTGTCTTCAAAGAATTGAGACTTAATGTAGCATGGCATATGAGACATCTGAAGTCAACTGCTCTCAAAGAACCAACGGATGACCCTTGTTTACTCCTCCATGACTTTCCTTTTTCCTCTCCCCTTGATTCTTGCCTATGACCCTATAAGCAGCACTTCCCAGAGGTTAATGTACAAGGCTACTTCAAGGATTTGGTAAGGTTTGGGCAAAAAAAATCAGATTCCTAGGTCTTACCCCACAAATTTCTATTTGGTAATTCTGAAGAAGGGCCTAAACATCTGAATTTTTTTTCCAACTTTTATTTTAAGTTCTGGGGTACATGTGCAGGATGTGCAGGTTTGTTACATAGGTAAACGTGTGTCATGGTGGCTTGCCGCACAGATCATCCAATCACCTAGGAATTAAGCTCAGCATTCATTAGCTATTCTTCCTGATGGTCTTCCTCCTCCTACCCCCACCCTCCGAAAGGCCCCAGTGTGTGTTCCCCTGACAATGTGTTCATTTGTTCTCATCATTCAGCTCCCACGTATAAGTGAGAACATGTGGTATTTGGTTTTCTGTTCCTGTGATAGTTTGCTGAGGATAAAGGCTTCCAGCTTCATTTATGTCCCTGTAAAGGACATGATCTGGTTCATTTTTAGGGCTACATGGTATTCCATGGTATATATGTACCAGATTTTATTTATCCAGTCTATCATTGATGGGCATTTAGGTTGATTCCATCTCTTTGCTATTGTGAATAGTGCTGCAATGAACATACATCTGCATGTATATTTATAATAGAATAATTTATATTCCGTTGGGTATATACCTAGTAATGGGATTGCTGGGTCAAATGGTATTTCTGACTCTAGGTCTTTGAGGAATCGCCACACTGTTTTCCATAATGGTTGAACTAGTTTACACTCCCACCAACGGTGTAGAAGTGTTTCTTTTTCTCCACAACCTTGGCAGCATCTGTTGTTTTTTCAACTTTTTAATAATAGTCATTCTAACTGGTGTAAGATAGTATCTCATTGTGGTTTTGATTTGCATTTCTCTAATGATAGGTTATGTTGAACTTTTTTTCATAAGTTTGTTGATCGCATGCATGTCTTCTTTTGAGCAGTGTCTGTTCATGTTCTTTGCTCACTCTTCAATGGGCTTGTCTGTTGTTTTCTTGTAAATTTGTTTTAAGTTCCTTGTAGATGTTGAATGTTAGACCTTTGTTAGATGAATAGATTACAAGAATTTTCTCCCATTCTGTACATTGTCTGTTCACTCTGTTGATAGTTTATTTTGCTGTGCTAGTTTATTTTGCTGTGCAGAATCTCTTTAATTAGATCCCATTTGTCAACTTTTGCTTTTGTTGCAATTGCTTTTTGGATCTTTGTCATGAAAACTTTGCTTATGCCTATGTCCTGAATGGTATTGCCTAGGTTTTCTTCTAGGGTTTTTATAGTTTTGGGTTTTACATTTAAGTCATTAATTCATCTTGAGTTGATTTTTGTATATGGTATAAGGAAGGGTTCGAGTTTCATTTTTTTTGCATATTGCTAGCCAGTTCTCCCAGCACCATTTATTAAATAGGGAATCCTTTCCCCATTTCTTGTTTTTGTCAGGTTTGTCAAAGATCAGATGGTCGTAGGTGTTTGGTTTTATTTCTGGGTTCTCTACTCTGTTCCATTGGTCTATGTGTCTAGTCTTGTACCAGGACTATGCTGTTTTGGGTAATGTAGCCTTGTAGATAGTTTGAAGTCAGGCAGCATGATGCCTCCAGCTTTCTTCTTTTTGCTTAGGATTGTCTTGGCTATTCTGGCACCTTTCTGGTTCCATATTTTAAAATAGTTCTTTTCTAATTCTGTGAAGAATGTCTATGGTAGTTTAATGGAAGTAGCATTAAATCTATAAATTGCTTTGGGCAATATGGCCATTTTCACGATATTGATTCTTCCTATCTACGAGCATGGAATGTTTTTGCATTTGTGTCATCTCTGATTTCTTTGAGCAGTGGTTTGTAGTTTTCCTTGAAAAGGTCCTTCACTTCCCTGGTTAGCTGTATTCGTAGGTATTTTATTCTTTTTGTGGCAGCTGTGAATGGGAGTTTATTCATGATTTGGTTCTCTGCTTGACTGTTGTTGGTGTATAGAAATGCTAGCAATTTTTGGACATTGATTTTGTATCCTGAGACTTCGCTGAAGTTGCTTATCACCTTAAGAAGCTTTGGGGCTGAGTTATAGGGTTTTTTAGATACAGGATCATGTCATGTGCAAACAAAGTTTGACTTCCTCCTTCCTATTTGAATACCCTTTATTTCTTTCTCTTGCCTCATTGTACTGGCCAGAACTTCCAATATGCTGAATAGGAGAGGTGAGAGAGGGCATCCTTGTCTTGTGCCTGTTTTCAAGGGGAATGGTTCCAGCTTTTGCCCATTCAGTATGAGTATCTGAATTTTTTAAAAAACACAACGGCTACTCCTTATGCTTATGATCTACAGAAACCCACTAAAGAAAATCAGCAGCAGTTTTGTTTTTTATTCATTTGGCCACCTATCGTCTGAAGTTTTCGCAAGCATCAACAAATTTTGTCACTAAAGCATCCACCTATGTATAGGGTCAGCTTCATTAAAAAAAAACATTTTTCACAAATCACCACTCGTTAATTCAGTATTGCTTTTGATAACTTATAAGCATTTACAATTAATGTAGATTTGTTTCTGTTTTTGTTTTAAACCACTTTATTGACATATGATTGACATGTAAAACGCTGTACGTATTTAGCATATACAACTTCATAAGTTTAGCAGTAAGTATACATCCATGATGCATCACCATCTTCAAGGTTATAAATATCCATCACCTCCCAAAGTTTCTTCCCACTTCCTTTTTATTAATCTGTGTGTGTTTGTGTGTTAGAAAGAATTAACATAAGACCTACTATCTTAATAAATTTTAACAATAAAATAGTATTGCTACCTATGGTCACTATGCTGTATAGATATCCAGAACTTATCTTGAATAACTGAAGCAGTTAGAAACTGTTAGTTAATGTTCTGAAAGGCATAAGTTCTTTAATTATTTTATTTTATCCAGCTGTCAATATAATGAATACAGACAAAGTGGATTCAACTTTTGAATTTTTATATAATGTTTCTTATTCTACCACTTTGATTACATAGGTAAAAATGTTTCCAAAGAGTGCATAAAATAACTTAATATACTTTAAGTGATTTTGGCAAGATGACTAAATATCCAATAATTTTTTAAAGTAAATTTTAATAGTTCAAATATACAGATGAAATTTGTATTATGTTACTTTTCATTCTGACTACCATACAGTCCTAGATTACCTCCAAGAAGCCCCTTTCCAGTTGAAAATGATGATAGAAATGTGATGTTTTGCATCAGACACCTGACTAAAGTATCTCTACTCATCAGACTTCTGAGACTCAACCTGCAGGTGGTCCTGCATTTAGATGTCTGCTATATTTCTCCATCTTAAATCTCGTTCGAGTAAAACAACTTAAAGGAATATCAGGAAGCAATTTATGGGAGATTATGTCTTTATTTTAATCAGCATAGAGAATTAACTCAATGACTGTAATACATCGTCTGGATTCAGCTACATTCTGTGTGTTCTCATTTTAGATGAAAGACTAAAATTTTCTGCAGTTCATTAAGTGTGATATGGTTTCCTTTTTAATTGAATTTGAATCTGTATAAATTATTATTTTTCACATTAAGTACTATTCTTCACTCCAGTTCAAGACATACTACCTCACGTTTCTATCTCATAATCATGTACCATCTGAAATTATTTTCTATGCTTCTCCAAATCTTTGTAAATTTGACTGCCTTTATGCTTTGCAAAAATAAAATGAAACCTATATTCTTCTACCTATCTGTGTCAGGGCTGAAGCAGTATAGATGTAATTGCTGATTTTTAAGATTAGGAAACTAGTATACTTATACTTACACCCCCCAATTTTTAGCTGTATAATTGACATGTTTGCAACAACATAACTTTTTAAAGTTATTTAACTTTTCTTTCCAAACTGTTTACATTAATTCCTTTGTTTTATAAAAAAAATAACTATTTTTGGAAATTATTTATATAAATATTTAAATGATCACAGCCATAAATGACCCAGTTCTTATTAGTTCAAGCTGATTTATTTTTCTATTTTAATAGAAATAAAAGCCCATTGTTAAAAGGAAGGCTATCTAAAATTGTAACAAGAAAATAAAAGTTCCTGTAATTCTGGATAAAAATATCTTTGTTTTTCTTTTCACACATTTTTATACCTATATATAAAAAGTTCTGTACAGCTACCTGTAGCATTTCACTATCTTTGCTGTTACATAGTTGGCTTTCCACGTAACAATGAATCATGAGTATCTTTCCATATCACTCTACTGTACATCTTTACATTTCAAATGTGTGTGTTTATACGTATATTTATATCACATTTAAGGTTGAAGCATAAATGAAACTACAGAAATGTATCCTTCAATATATAACCAATTTTTATGAACATTTAGATTGGTTCACATATTTTTGTTATTATTAGCAATACTGTGATAAATATCCTGATTTTTATGTATGGGTTCAATTAGTTCCTGTAGATGTATTCCTGTAGAAAAAAATGCTCAATAAAAAGTATTCACTTTAAATTTTGATATATGATTCCTGAGTATTTGCAAATGGTTGAACTAAAGGTATATGAGTGTTTCTTTTTCTGCATTCTTGATGTTGTCAAGTAAAAAAAATAAGTGTTTTTATTTTACTGTTTTCAACCTAAAAACAATTTTTAAATTCAGGTTTTAGTTTGTATTTCACTCAGTATATGGGAAGGTTAACTAGGATCGCTACCTAATTTGCAGGACTGAGTGCAAAACGAAAATCCAGGGCTCTTTGTTCAAAAATTGTTAAGGATTTCAAGACTGTGACAGCAGAATATCAAACCAAGTATGAGGCCATTATTAACTATGGTCCTGTGTGACTCCATAGGTTGGACACTCCTAAAGCTAACCCTTTAGCTTTTTAAATACATATTAGCCTTCTGACTTTGATTTCTGGCTACTGTTTATGAGTGGATTTCACCATTTTAAAAAATTAAGTGAGTGAAAATGGTTTTCACCCAGTTAAAATGATTTTAGTATATCTTTTAATTGATTTATTATAAAATTACCGTATAGACCCACATCTGAAATATAGAAACACTTATCGAATTTTATTTATATATTCATGATTTTTTTGATTTTACATATACATATTTAATCTATTTACATTTTTTTCTTGAGGTCAGATCGTAACTGAATTTTCTTTTCTCTAAACTAGTTATCCAATAGGCTTAATGTCTTTTATCTTATAATCTATAAGTTCCCCTGTGATTAGAAATGCCACAGTTTTCACGTGCCCATAGAAATATAATAATCAATTTCTTGCTTTTCTATGCAATTTCATTGATCTAACTTACTGATCTTCCCCCCAAACCATCCTATTTTAATTATTGTAGCTCTATGATTCTACTCATTCTTCTGATTTTTTCTAGTATTTTCTTACTATTTAATTTTCTAACATGATTTTAAATAGTTTCAGGTTGTGAAATGGAGCTCTTGGGACTTTGATTTAAAAAATAATGACCATGTTTATCCAGGTGGATAAATGGATGTCTTTAAACATTAACTTTTTATACCTAAAATCAAGCCATAAGCCTTCATTTATCTGTGTATTTTTTCAGGTACCTTGGTAGAGTATAGATTTCTTTATATAGATCCTGCACATTCTTATTTTTATACTGTTTTTTAGATTTGATCTCTTCAAGGAAAAAAAATCTGTTAATTTTCTGTATACATTTTGTGACTGGTCACCATGCTGTTTGTTTCTCGAGGTCTACTTTGTACCTTTCCCCACCATGCTCCGTGCCACAGGAAGAAGTCCTCTGTGAACTGAATTAATCGAGTGCCCTTGTATTCTGATTTCCAGTTGGGTTCCATCAATGAAAAACAGCAAGACAAAACTGGAGGGTGAAAGAGAGTGAGGTTAGGTGAAAAGTCTTGATTAGTCTAAAGGAAAGGATTTTTTTCTACTATTTTTCAGCCCAGAGAGGGTACCATTTGCAATTTGCAAAGAAAATAACTTATGTGATACAAGAATTTCGTAGAATTCTTCTAAGTCTTCTATTTATTGTGCTTCATTTTATCATTCACGTAGAATGAAGTTGAAGGGGATGGAGGAGTATAACGTTTTATTATCTGCTTAGTTGTTTAGCTGCCTAAGGAGAGTAAGACCTATTATTTCAGACTATCAAGCAACAGGATTGTTATTTTTTAAATTACTTCATCAGATGCTATATTCACCACCTGTTGCAAGAACTTGTAATATAAATTGTTCTTCCATTTTATGGAAAATTTGCCACATTGTTGAAGAGACAAAAATAATAATAATAATAGCACGATGTTGGTATTATCTTTGTTGCATGAGTGCCTATTTCCTTTGTATGAAGGGGTGGCCCCTCCACACCTGTGGGCGTTTCTCGTCAGGTGGGATGAGAGACTGAGGAAAGAAAGAGACACACAGAAAAAGTATAGAGAAAGAAAAGTGGGCCCAGGGGACCGGCGCTCAGCATACGGAGGACCAGCACCAGCACTGGTCTCTGAGTTCCCTCAGTAGTTATTGATCATTATCTCTACAATCTCGGAGAGGGGGATGTGGCAAGACAATAGGGTAATAGTGGGGAGAGGGTCAGCAGGAAAACATGTAAACAAAGGTCTCTGTGTCATAAACAAGGTTAAGAAAAGGTGATGTGCCTTGATATGCACGTATACAAACATCTCGGTGCATTAAAGAGCAGTATTGCTGCTAGCAGTCTTACCTCCAGCCCTAAGGCGGTTTTCTCCTATCTCAGTAAATACAACACATAATCGGGTTTTACACTGAGACATTCCATTGCCCAGGGACAAGCAGGAGACAGATGCCTTCCTCTTATCACAACTGCAAAGAGGCCTTTGTCTTTCACTAATCCTCCTCAGCACAGACACTTTACAGGTGTCGGGCTGGGGGACAGTCAGGTCTTTCCCTTCCCAGGAGGCCATATCTCAGGCTACCACATGCGGAGAAACCTTGGACAATACCTGGTTTTCCTAGACAGAGGTCCCTGTGGCCTTCCACAGTGTATTGTGTCCCTGGATACTTGAGATTAGAGAATGGTGATGACTTTTAACAAGCATACTGCCTTCAAGCACTTTTTTAACGAAGCACATTCTGCATAGCCCTAAATCCATTAAACCTGGAGTGAACACAGCACATGTCTCTGCAAGCACAGGGTTGGGGCTAGGGTTACAGATTAACAGCATCTCAAGGCAGAAGAATTTTTCTTAGTACAGAACAAAATGGAGTCTCTTATGTCTACTTCTTTCTACACAGACACAGTAACAGTCTGATCTCTCTTTCTTTTCTCCTTATCTTTACTTCTACCTTTCTACGTGTAGGTCTTTATTTACGGATTTTGGTCTAAACAATTGTGGTGCCCTCTTATATCCAAGTTTTACATGCCCCTTTATCTTATAAAAACCCCTACTGTTAGCCCACCACCAGACCAGAGAAGCATAACAAAGTATATTCCTATGGGTAGTTTCCTGTCTAGCCACTCATACAGTCTGACGTCCATAGTCGCTTGCTTTGACAGGTGGTGGGGAATGAAGTCTCACGTATAATATGCATCTTCAGCCCAAATCCCATAAAATTAAGGAATATTAAAGAGTGTTTTGTAGAATTTGAACTCAGTATTTTGTTCATCACTTCATCTTATATTTTTGCTGTAAGAGTCCTTGTGAATTTTTTTGACAGTATAATACAGGCACGTTTAAAAAATTTTTGTTTCTCAAGGAAGATTTTTTGAGAACAATCTTTAGACAGTTTTGTTCTGCTACTGTTATTAGAAAAATCAATTCCTTTTTGTATTTTTATCTTTGTTTCTCCTTCTTGAATGAAGAGGGGTCATTTATGGCCTGGTATTTGTCCAAACAGCACATGGGAGAAAACCTTTTCGATGTCTTCATTGCACCCCTGAAATATATTTCAGGTGTACTACACATTACACATTGCACGCACACACACACACACACATATGCGTATGTATGTATATACATACAATATGCCAAGTATATTTTTGGAACATCTCTCTAACGTTTTAAACTGGAAAGGCAATTAGTGTAAGTTTTAATAATCCAGCATTCTAAAAAGAATTAAAAGGAGGGTATGGCATGAGCAGATTTAGTGGAACAATTTAATCTGTGTATGATTTCCTCTCTGTCATTTATAAGGTTACTGTACTAGGGACCAGTTCTCTGTATCTCCTTTTCCATTTGGCCCAGCCTTCAGTCTAGGAATATCATGGTATCCAATTGCCTTTTCAAGGTTAGTGCCCAAGCTTTAGGAAGAATCGGTAGATCAGAGAAAAGTTACCACATGCTGATTTCCTTTTTGAGTAGCTTACTTTCTTGTACATCTCCCAGTGCAGATAATTCCAAAAGCTGCTTATCAGAGAAAGTAAGGGTCTGGCTTGCTCTAGGCTGTGTTTGCCATTGCCTTCATTCCTCCCTACTGAAAATTATGAAGTGCCAGAATTTCTTGTATTTACTTTCTGAAATGTCACACTACTCTTCGGAAGAAGCAATGCATCTTCCTTGATTTGTTTTAAAGTAAATTACTTCAAGTTCAAAGTAGACTGATTAGCCATGGCTCCTACACCATGTAGGCTCACTATTTTCATGTTCCTTTAGACATTTTAGCCTTTAATTACCAGGTAATTAAGAGCATTAGGTAGTCAAAGTGTTTAGGTATACCAGTGTTTAATACATTTATTTGTCTGGAAGTCATTGTCAACAGCTTCTTCTTCTCAAACATTAATTCTTATTAATTTTTAACTGCCTGGAGTCCTTTTTTTTGGCCTAGAATCGTTAATGGAGTTTTTACTCACTTGATTTCAGGTGTACTGTGCTTTCAGCTAAAAATTGATATAGGTATTTCCAAATGTTTCATCGTTACCTGTCTTCTCTTTTCATCTATATTTTCTATATCCAATTTCATCTAGTCTTATGGCTTCAATTCTCTCTACTTTGTGGATGGCTCTCAGATCTCACTCTCTACTTTTGTACTTCCCATAAGCTCTGGTTTACCCATGCAGATGATTTCCTGCTCCTGCTTGAATATTCTGGTAATGCCTTTAGTCAAAGCAATATGCCCAATACTGAGAGCATCATCTTCTACCTTCCCAAATGTCTCTACCTGTTCATTCAGATGTTCATTTGTTCATTTATTCATTGTTGTATTTATCAAATACCTCCTTTGTATCAGGTCCTTTTGCTGGGGGTAATCAGTGAAAGAGGTAGATAAGGTGATTCTCCCGCAGAAGTTTGCACACAATTAAGAGACACACATGCATATAAGTAAGCAGACAAATACCATGCAACATGATAAGGCCAAGATATAATGAGTTTGGGACAGGATGAAAGAACAAAATGGGGAACCTAGTCTTAACTTGGGTGTCAGAAAAATTTCTTAAAAGGAGTAATGTCTAAGTTGAGCACTAAAGCTTGAATGGTAATTAGCCATGTAAAGGGGAGAAGGAGAGAACAGTAGTGTGGGTGTAAGAACAAACATGGCACACAAATAAGTCTAGAAACAGAAAATTGTTCATGACAGCTAAAGTGAAGGGAGTATGGAGTAGTGAGTTTTGAGAGTGAAAGGGCTCACCAGCCAAATCCATAAGGGTTCTATATGTTGTGTTATAGAATTTGGACTTTATCCTGAGAGACAGAGAAAGTACTGGAAGGTTATAAGGACAGGAATCACATGATCAATTTGATTTTTAGAAAGATCATTCTGACTGCAGTGTGGAGGTCGTATTGAAAGGCCAAAGGCAGGTGAAAGATCAATCAGAATGAGAGATCTTAAATGAAAGATAATAAAACATTTCATTGGAGTGGTGATATTAGAAATAGAGAAAAGTTAAATAGGGAAAGAAATAGAGAAAAGTTAAATATATTTTGAAAGATTTGTATTTTCTCTGAGGGGAAAAAAGAGGCCAAAAATTATGGCTTGATCTATAAGATCTATAATGATGTCTTGATCTATAAGATGTATAAGGATACTTTCCACTGAGATATGGACCAGAAGAGCACAAAGTGGTTATTGAAG
Source organism: Homo sapiens (assembly GCF_000001405.40). Lineage (NCBI taxonomy): Eukaryota > Metazoa > Chordata > Mammalia > Primates > Hominidae > Homo > Homo sapiens. The sequence goes on from NC_000006.12 coordinate 95,564,327, forward strand.
GCATGAAAATGAAAAGAGACTTCCAACAGTGAGTATGTGTCATATGAGAGAGCGCCTAGACAGAAGAGAGTCTATTTAAGATCTAGACCAAGAAAGAGAAGTCTACAGGGGAATTGTGGAGTTTAAGAAAAGTAAGAGAAATAATATTAGGACCCAATATAATATGTTTAGAACATGTGGGTGTGCACAGAGGATTGAGTGCAGTAAGCGCTTTACATGGATGCCTAATGTCAAATTGGAGAATGTGAGGTCAAGGAAACTAGAGGGAGAAAATGTTCAAGATGGATGGAGCTGAGTATAGAGCTGAATATAGCCAAGATATCAAGTATGGTATAGACTGAAAATATATTTAGTGCAAGGAAATCACTGGAGACTTTGTGAAAAGCAATTCCTGAGGAGTGCTGGGGGCAGTAACAATTGTACAGTAGGTTTGAGAAGTCAGAGAAGGTGAGAAAATGTTTCCCATGCCTTGCCAGCAACTCCATTAGCCTATATATCTAGAATGAACAATATAGAGTCACCTTTGATTCTTTTCTCTCATTTGTCTTCTGCTGCTCATTCTAATTGCACAATAACTCTTGGTTCTCTCTGGCTTCTCCTTGCCATTACCTCCAAAAGAGCCACTCTTGTTCAATCCTGCTTTGATACTTTCACACTACTACTCCATTCTTGTTTATAGAAAATATTCCATAATTAGTTATTATTTAATACCCAGTATAAATAGTACTTGTGTGAGTAACCGCCCCCTCCAAATAACTTTTCTCTGAACTCTTACAACACTTCATTGGAACCCTTTTAAATAACACTCATGACTTTTTGCTTTGAGTGAAGCCATCTACATGCATGTCTTATCCCCCTTCATAGACTGTTAACTTCATGAGGGAAGAAGTCTTATATTTTTATATTGTACATATATCCTAAAACAGATAATCTAAGTACATATTTTGGTTCTGCACAATTTTGGCCTATTGGACCTTGAGCAAGTCTTATCTAGGTCCTCTGAATATTTTTCCTTCCAAAATGTGATAATTTTCTATGCTGCCTACTTAATATTAAAGATTGTTTTCAGAATTTATAAGAGTAATGTAATTGAAAATGTTTTGAGAGTGATAAAATATAAAAGAAACTATTTTTATATTTTTACTATGATTGCAGGAGTTAGTAGTAGTACTGTTATGATTATTATGTACTGAGAATTGCCACTCTATTTAGACATGCAGCAATTCAGCCAATCAATACTTTAAAGGTTAATTTCTTCAATTTAGAGCATAACACCTACAGTGAAGTCTGCCATTTATTTTGATGAATAATTCATGGAACACATATTTTACTTAGAGATTGTTTCTTTCCCTAGGTGTTTATACTAGGAAATATAGCAACTGAATTTGATCAAGTGCTTGAGCCTAATTGATCAATTAATTTTTTTTTTACCTTTTAAAGTGCAATATTAATGTGTGCTTGTCGTACAAATACAAACCATTCTTAAAAGTATATATAAAAACTGAAACCCACTTTCTATGAAAAACACTGTTAAAGTGTTTGGTATGTTTATTTCTAAAAATTTAGACACATATACATTTGTTTTTTGTTGTTGATGTTCTCTCTCTCTCTCTCCTCATTCCTGTATGTATACATATTTGTATATGCCTATATATTTACATAATATAATTTATATTAAACGTACTTACAGATACTGGGGTAGGTGGAATAATGGGCCCCCAAATATGTACACATCCTATTGCCCAAAACCTGTGACTATGTTACTTTACATGACAAGGGAGCTTTGCACATGTGGTTGAGGTTAAAGATTTTGAGATGGGTTGGTTATCCTGGATTATTCAGTTGGACACAATATAATCTGATATCCTTAAATGTGAAAGAGGAAAGCAGATGAGTGGGTCGGATAAATGTGATATGAGAAGAATTGGATCTGACATTGCTGGCTTTGACAATGGAGGCATAGAGCCATGAGCCAGATAACATGGAGGCCCCTAGGAACTGGAAACTGCCTTCAATATATAGCCAGCAAGAAAACATATACCTCAGTTATACAACTGAAATCTGCCAAAAAAAATAATTGAACAAGCAAGGAAACAATCTCCCCAAGAACCTCCAGTAAGCAAGGCAACCCTGATGACACCTTGATTTTAGCATAGAGAGACCCATGTCTGACTTCTGACCTACAGAACTGTGAGATAATAAATTTGCATTGCTTAAGCCACTTAACTTGTGGTAATTTATTATGCCAACCATATAAAATTGATACAGATATATCTTTACATAGCTATCTACATAATTTTGCAAATTCATTCTTCTTAAAAACTATATATGGACATCTTTTCATGTCATTTACAAAGAGAGATCACTGTGTGCAGTTTTTTCTCATTATGGGTATAATTTTGTAGGAAAAATAGCTAAATATAGAATAGCTCACTCAAAGAGTAGTGCAGCCAAATTTCCCTTCAAGAAGGTTCTACCAATTAGTATTCCCACCAATAAAATGTGAGAGTATACATATTCCACATCCTGGCTACAACTGGATATTATCAGTCATCTTAATGCCATGGCCTTTGTCCTTTCAGGACTCAAAACTACTTTTATAGATATTGAGTACCTTTATTTCTTCTTTTTATGACTCTCCCATGTATTCTAATGAGACATTAGAGATCTACACAGGATTTTATAAGACTGTCCTCTTGCCCTAGTAGATTTTCTTACTAAGATGAATTGGCAATATAAAAGTTACTAATTCAGAAAATATTTAAGGACAATTTTTAATAAAAAGGTCCATACTCCTAGGTCTCAAAGATTTGTGCTTAAACTCAACTGACTAGGCAGCTAACTCTACACGTTCAAATGGACACTTCCTGCACCACGGTAGATAAAGTTACCTACACTTACCTCAAGTTCAAATTCACTCCTCAGTCTGTTGCTACCATGATCACCTCTTCCACTCCATGTTCTGAGAGTACTAGTTTCTAAGCGACCTAAATGAAAACAGAAAGGTGTCTTGGGATAATTTATGAACACCTAATAGCTAATATGCACTGAGATAAGCTAAGTCTCCAATCAAGTCTTAGAAAAGTCTTTCATGGAGAATATACTTAAAATTATTCTTGCTTATCAAGTGTTCCCAAATTCCTCCTAGATCTTCCTTTAGTTTTTAAACTACAAAATATTTTTAATTTGCTAAAACTATAAAATGCATATACCCACCACTCAGGTAAAATTTAGCCCTATTTGCCTGAGATACAAAGTTATTTTGTTTCCCTGAATATTTTTTAGTTACCTCTTGTAAAACTTTGTATGCCTAATGGGTTCTTGATATTATCATTCACACTATTGCCTCTGCAGCTGATACTATTATGATGACTATTTTGGTTAGTGTGAGTACATGTTTGATTAATGACCCATTCTTTAATTTATATATTTTTATTGGTCTGTTCAGGTTCCCCCTTTTTTTTTTTTTTTTTTTTTTTTTGAGACGGAGTCTTGCACTATCACCCAGGCTGGAGTGCAGTGGTGCCATCTCGGCTCACTGCAACCTCCGCCTCCCCAGTTCAAGTGATTCTCCTGCCTCAGCATCCCAGGTAGCTGGGATTAACAGGTGCCCGCCACCATGCCCAGCTAATTTTTTCTATTTTTAGTAGAGATGGGGTTTCACCATCTTGGCCAGGCTGGTCTCTAACTCCTGACCTCGTGATTCACCCGCCTAGGCCTCCCAAAGTGCTGGGAGGTGTGAGCCACCGTGCATGGCCAGTTTTCCTATTCTTGAGTGTGCTTTCATCATTTATACATTTTTAAAAAATTAACATCTAAGTTTTCAAATGTTCTGGCATTTATTCTTAGCATTCTCTGATGACTTTTTAAAAGCTTACAGTACTTTTATTACTCCTTTTCCATTCCTGATATTATTTGTTCCTTTTCTCTTTTTGCCCTCCCCCTCATTTCTGTTGGAGGCCTATTTATTTTTAATAGTTTATTTTTTTAAAGACTCTGGTATCTTTATTTTCTATTTTATTACTTTCTCCTGTTATCACTATTTCTCCCTTTTTTTGACTTTTTGGGTTTACATTAATGCTCATATTTTAACATGAAGCCCTTTTAAAATAATTCTTTTCTAAATATAATCTCTACTTTTAGTTCTTTTTTAATCCATGAATCATTGGTCTGTGTCATTTCATTCCTATACCTGATGAATGGCTACTGTTTTGTTATTGTTTTTTAATTTCATTAAATATTTGTCAAAGAATACAGTTTATATGTTGTTATTTGGTATTTCCTGAAACAATCTTTAGTGGCCTAGAATGTGCTAAAGTTTTGTACATACTAATGTTTTCTTAAAATAAAGTGAATTATTTTTTCAGGTACAAGATGATATGTAAGTACAATAAATAAATTCCCTTAAGTGCTTCGTTGAAATAATCTATATTCTAATAGTTTTATACTTTACCTATTATTTCTGGTAGAAGCATGTTACCAATCTCAATATGATTATTAACTTTGCAAGTTCTCTTTGTAATTCGGTCCAGTTTTTAAAAAATCCTTATGATGCAAGAATAAGTTGTCTCATTTCCTTGGCTGAATATTACAGTTTCAGAAGTTAGGAAAGAGTCTTTCATCCACGACTAATCTTCTCCACCAAGTCACTGGCTTCAAATTTTCTACTTGTTCTTGACACTTAGAATTTTTTTCTCTCTCATTTTTTCTCTCTCTCCCTCTCAGGCTACATAGTAAAACCAAATATTTTAAAATTACACCTGATTTAGCATTTCTTTGTGTGGGAGAGAGGCTGTGTAGCCACATTAGTTAGTTCACCCAGAATTGTGTTCATCAGAAATTTTCCCCGTAAAATTTACAGTAGGGTTGATATGAAGAATCAGTGCCTTTTCTTTCCTCCTGACTGGGCATACCAGGTTGCACTGACAATATTTTCTAAAATAGATTGTATTCTGTACCAGCAACTCGTTTCTTTATTCTATTCTGGCTGTCACACTTAAAGATATTATCAAGATGTTTTGCAAAGTTGCAGAGAAGTTTTAAAGGGGTCAAAATGTTCTGAAAGAAAGTTAGAAACATATTCATTTATTTATTTTTGTTGTAGAAGAGGTATTACGGTATTTTGTAAAGCTCAATAAAGAGAGCTAGGAAACCTGTATGGAAGAAATAAGGAAATTCATTTAGAATTATTTTGATAAAAACTTTGCAGCAATTTGTCCTGACTTTGTGAGAATCAGTCACCTATTCTTGGCTGTTCAATGTATGGCTACCACCTGTTTGGAATGTTGTAGAAGAGATTGTTCTACTAAGTAAAATAAACAGTGTCCAGCTCAAACTTAATGTCTCTTAATAGTCTAAAATTCTATGAGTTGCCAAAATCCAACAATGTTCCAGCAGACGTAAGACTGTGGAAATTAGACAGGAAGTTAATAAGTAGCCTAAGCCAGGTACCGCCGGGCAGTAAGTGTTTTGGAGCTACATATTAGAATATAGGGAATACCACTGAGCTGCCCACAGTAAGAGCTTGAGGGAAAATAAATCTCACGTCTAGATGCAAAAATGCCACAGGAACAACAAGGAAGATGAGTTATCCGGGGAGCTTGAACATATGCAGAAGGAAATCACAATTGAAGGGGAAAAAATTAAGAGAAGCCAAAATATTTTGTTCCTTGGTAAATAAACCCAGAATAAAATTTCCTTATCTTGTGTTTTAATGAAATATCATTGATATTCACTTGAAAAATATTTTATACTCAGTATTTTCACATTCTTTTGATCTTTATTCCTATACTTTTCATGATCAAGTTATACAAATTGTAAAAAAAGTCAATGTTGTGGAATAAAGATACACTGTATCTCATAACAAATTCCATACCCACAAAAGCAGTGCAAATGTATGTATGTATGTATGAAATTTGTATTATGTATTTTTAGCACGTATTTTTGGGAGCACATTATCTTTTTCTATGAATCATAAAATACTACAGATAGCACATATATAGAATACATATAAAATTATATATAAATACATATAGATTATATGAATACATATATTTATATAAAAATAATTTATATTATATACATATTTATATATATAAATATTTGCTGTAAAATTATAAATGGTAACTTGATAAGCTTTGCTTTTATTGTTGCATATTTTTATTTTAACAGATGAGTAGACATCACACTCAGGGAATTTATTTTGAAAGAAGAACAACAAAATGTTACCACCAAATTATCATACATATGTATAAACACACACACACACACACACTCCCACACACATACTCTTACACTGTGTTTCCTTCATTCCTTATTCAGTCAATAAAGCATGAATTTCTGGCCACTAGATACATTCAACTAAATATTTCTGAAGTCTTGCTATGTGGAAAGCATTGTGATAGATGCTGTAAATAGATGAATGCAGAAAAGACTGCCTTGCAGGGGCACAAACTCTTTTGAGATATAGACATATACAAAAATAATTAAAGTAATCCAAACAGTGGTAAGCAGATAATCAATATAAACCACACACTGTATATCTCTGTGTTTCTTGGTAGACGGCAAACTCCTAGGAGGTAGAGATTTGTGATGAATATATGTTTTCTGAAAGTAGGCACCCCTCAACATTGTGAATAAAAGCATAATCAAATAAAACCAATTATTATGAAGCTAACATATTTGCCCATCTCAACAAACCAAAACAAAAACAGCCAGAATAAAAATTGGTAAATAACAACTCAGTTTATATTAATGCAATTAGCTTTTACTTTGCAGATACATTTAAAGAATGATGTTTCTCTCACATTCAAAGAAACAATCTGGGCATCTTATAATTAATGTAATATTTATTGAATCCCTACTGTTCATTGATTTATTTATTCAACACATATTTGTTGAAAACTGTATTAGTTTCCTGTGGCTGCTAGAACAAATTACCAGAAACTTGGTAGCTTAAAAAGCATACATTTATTCTCCTGCAGTTCAGGAGGTCAGAAGTCTGAAGTCAGTTTCACTGGGCTGAAATTGAGGTATTATTATGGTCACTCTCCCTTCTGAAGGTTTTTCTTGCCTTTTCTGGCTTTTAGAGCTTGAATGAAATGCTTGCGTTCCTTTACTTTTGGTCCCTAGTCTGATCTTCAAAGCCAGCAGCCTAGCATTTTGTTTCAGTAGTCCCATTGCCGCCTTCTTTGTCAAATCTCCCTTTGCCTCCCTGTTATAAAGACATGTGTGACTATATTTAGGGTCCATCAAGACAACTCTCATCTCAAGATCCTTCCTCACACCTGCAAAGTCCCTTTTGCCATTTGAATTATTACTCACTGGTTCAGAGGATTAGGACCTCTGTATCTTTGGGAATTATTATCATCCTACTACAAGCACCTACTATGTGTTGGGAGTTGGAGCCCCAGCTCTGAATTAGACTATCTCTGGAACTGCCTTCATGGAACCTGGCATTACAGGGTGTATAAAAGACGTACACAACACAGGCCTGCTATTTAATTGGGTTCTCTAACAGAAAAATGTTTATCAGCGAGTAAGTGCATGTTTTTTTCTTTTTCTCTTTTAACAAGAGAAATTGCCAGCTACTTCTTAGAATACGCAGGCACAGAAAATCACCTTGTAGCTGATACTGTTGAGAATAATTACTGTGGTCTCTCTTATATAAATAGAAGACAAGTGAGCCCATCATTTTGAGAAATAACAAGGCATTTTTTTTTTCTTTTACTGACTTTTGCAAACTGCTTCTTTTTGCATGGCAGGAGAAGGTGGTACTATGGCAGGAGAAAGATTAGGTTGGTTTGGTTAAAGAATCCATAGCATCCCACGAAGGAAGAAACTCAAACCTAATACCTTAGGAAATTCTCTGTGAAACCTGGAGTTTCAGTGATGCAACATTTGGGGAGTGGCTGATTGTAGTATGACACTAATGCTCAATCATAAAACATAGGACTTCCTTCCTTCAACACACTGAGAGGCCCTATATCAACTGGTGGAGTCATTTCCGAACTCAGGAAGTGCTACATCTCCCTGCTGGCTCTGGTTTCCACTAAAGACATGCATCTCCCTTAGCTGCCACCATGCCTGTTTGCAGAATAGGGTTTCCTTCAGGATAGGGTTTCCTTAAGGAGAAATGTTCCATATATAGTCAATCAATGCATTAGCATTTAACAGCACCATTCAACCAGAGGTGAACTTTCTGCCTTCTTTATTTGGGAAGGCAGAACGCTCTCCCATCTCTGTCACTCAGGAGGGCCATCACCTGGGCAAGTACTTGGATCAGAGAATGAGAAAAACTTTCACCAAAGGGGCTTGGCCTGTTTAGTTAGAAGTTACCTACACTGAGTTTAATTCTGGGTTATGTACATCAATTCTTAGAAGAGCCTTATCTAATGCATCAAGAAGTCACCCTAAAACCTGTGACCACTACGAGGCCAGTGAATTTTAATCATGACCTACCAAGGCAAGTTTTTTCCTTGGTCTGATAATAGTTCGTGAATTTATGTGGGATAGAGTTAGAATGGATTCCTTGCTGTCAGGATGCTGGTAGGTACAGTGAAAGGATCAGAGCATTAGGGGAAACAATGAGTTTGGCTCTCTGAATTATCTACTGCTATAAATTGGTGGAAACTTTAGTGTTTTACTCATGGCACTATTGGAGTTACATTCTTTGCATCCCAAACTGTGTCAAGGAATACCTTAGTTACACCTTCACAGATACCAGATATGATAAAAAGAACAGAACAATTTAGTTAATTAAGAAATTATTGCTGTTTCATATTACTCCCTATAAATGTATAGGGATTAAAAGAATAAAACAGTAAGTATAAAATAGTAAGGGAGAAAGTAGACTTTATATGGACAGTGAAGCATACTGTGATGGATAATTGGACTATTGTTTGGGGATTTAGTTTATTTTATTTTGTTACTACTTAGAATCTAAAAATCCTTCAGGTTTTGGAAGAATAATGTATTCTGTGTTTTGTGCCCAATTTCCCATTAAAGCCAAAAGTTCTGGGCTCTACTTCAAGGAGGCTAAGGAGGAAAAGACATACAGCCTAGAGTAAGCTAATCAAATGATCTCAATCCAAAATTTGAATCTTGAAGCAACGAGGTAGACAACACAGAGTTGAGAAGTCACTCATAGTGGTGTCAGCAGCTTTGAGATCAGTGCAGCCCTGAAAGCAGCAGTGCCCTAATCTGTACTGTTATATGAGGCTGTGTTCCCAATTTCCTAGCCCCTCTTGTTTCCTATCCATTGCCATTACCTAATGTACTAGCCTTCATCTTCATGCTAAATTCTGTAACTTTTTACATAGTCTATTTGTTTTCAGGTTTGCCAGATTCAATTTCTATTGCTTACAAAATATATCTCTGATTAATGTAAGTGGAGAGGATATGGACAGAAATTGATTTCTCATCTTCAGTGACAGGAGTAATGAGCAAAGGTATAAATGGCATATGGCTAGGAAATACTAATGAAACTTCTAGGACAGGGAAAAATAGACATGAAATAATCAGGAGACAAACAATAGGGCCCATTGAAATAGAGGCAAGAAAAAGATGGTTGAAGGTGTAACTGCTTAGGTCTGGGAAATACAAAGAAGACTCTTCAATGCTGATGCCAAAAGATAAGATAAATGGCTGCCGCTTTTCTAGTAGCAAGATAGGATTAACCTGAAGGATCTTGTGGGGTGGGGACTATGATTTTAATAAATGCTAATTAGGATAAACCAAAGGCTACTATTAGTTTATTGTGTTAGAATCTTTCCATACAAGAATTTGACAAAAAAGAAAAAAAAATGGGGGATTTTTTTTTTCTCCATTCTTCCTTCTTTGGATCATTTTTGTCTTTGGACTCTCAGTGACTGATTACCCCTGATGCAACACATTTAAAATGTCTATTTACTACACAAATGAATTTATATGCAGCTCTTTTTCTTTCCAAGAAACCATCTATTAGATAAATGGCATATTCTTCTGGTGCTGTATTTTTAATTAAAAAATACATAAATATGGGCTCACATTAAAAAAGAAAACAGCACTACAGAGAGTAAAAAAGAAAATTCTCCTTCATTCCCCTTCTGTTACATCCCTATAGGTAACAATGCATATATCCTTTCAGATATTTTTATATATCATACATGCACATATATATTTAAAATTTATATTAATATAATGTGAATTTCTCTTGTAAGTATTAACATACTAATCACTTGCTCATTTATCTTGGAGACCTTTCCCATCAGTGCTTATTAATTTACTAAATTCTACATTGTTTACATTCAGGAAATTATTGAACTAATTAAATCTATATGTATATATGAGAGATAAAAAAATTGGATGTGGCAGTTATTATGGCCATCCCATATTTGAAAACAAAATCAAGATTCAGAATGTAATAACATTCTATATGTGATAATTACAACAAAACATTGCTGACTTTCCAGTGATGTCAAGTAAAAAAAAAAAATTCTACATAAAAACACTGTGAAAAAAAGTGATGTGAAAGAAAAAAAGAATATTAACAACATTATTTCTATCATTGCCATCTCAACATTCCCTGACAATAGCAGGGGATAGGTAGAGCAGTCAGAGTTACAAGATGAGGCACTAGCAGCAATTCTAATCCAGTTTATAAACACCATTGTGCAATGAATAGAGTGTGATGCAATGAGAATCTACTTGCCTAATTTATTTACACTGGCAGTCATAAAGTACCCAGTTTTTAAGCAAGTGAGCATGCATTAACATATTTATAAAATAAAATCCTCTCCCTCTCATTTGACATCAGAAAATGTATTAATCATTCCCATAAATATATTAGAATAGGAAACAATGATTATCTCAATAGGTGCAGAAAAAGCATTTAATCAATTAAACTGTCACTCATGGTTAAAAAAAAGCAAACAACAATACATTATGAACTGGAAACAGAACACTTAATAATCTTGATAAAGTATTTACCAAAAACCCACAGCAAACATTGTTATCATTATAAAATGTTAGCAGTATTGCAGTAAAGTGAGGAATGGGACAAGAATGCCATTATTACTTCCATTAAACATTGCACTGGATGCTCTGTTAATAAATAAAAGAAAAAACTGAATAATAAGTGGTTTGAAAAGAGAGAAAGAAGGAAACCATTATTCTTATTTACAAATGATATGATTACCTATATAGGTCATCCAAAGATGTAACAGGGAAATAAAGCAAGCAATCAAAAAAATTCAGCGAAGCTTCTGGAGATAGTACCAATATATTGAAATTGATGCTCTTTTAATACAATGTTACTAAACAATTAGAAAATAGAGTTTAAAGAGAGAGATCTCTAATTTTAGTAATAAAACTAGGAGGCAATATAATGAAAGATACTCAATAAATTACAAAGCATAGTAGCACATAAAGTACCTGAATAAAATAAATATACCATGTTCATAGATAAGAAGACATTTCACTAAATCTCTAAATGCAATTCTCAAGTTGAATAAAATGCCCAATTGAAATCCAATTTTTTAAATGGATCTTGGCTGGCTCATCCTAAAATTTCAATGAAAGAGTAAAGAGCCAAGTATAGTTAAGGCAATTTTAGACAAGAATCATTAGGAGGAGGGGTTTGCAAAATGTTTTAATACATAGAGTTGAGTGCATGGGTGTTCATTATATTATTATTTGTCCTTTCTGTGTTTAAAGTTGCTACAATTAAACTTTTAAACTTGTAGAAGAAAGAATAGTTTCTGATGTTATGTTGGGAAGAATCTTGTAAGCAAGAAAGCAAAAAGCACAAAATTAAAATGTAAAATATTATTAAATTCAAAAAGCTGTATACTGAAGCATAAAGCTTTTGGCAATCAAGAAACATCATAAAAACTGGAAAGACAGTCCATAAACTAAGAGAAGACATTTGCAACACATGTAACTTACAAGAGAGAATTAAACTAGAAAAAATAAATATTATCTACAAAATAATTTTCAAAAGCAAGCAATTTAATAAAAAATGAGATAAAATTAAGAACAGGCTTTAGCAAAAGGGAAAATGCAAATTAAAAGAGCAATCAGATGCTCTTATCAGCAAAAACTTAAAAAGTCTAACAATAGCATAAGGGTAACGATGTGCCAGTCTAGTTTATGGGAAATGGACTTGTATACAGACGAATCTCAAAACCTCTCAAAACCTAAATTAGTGAAAAAAGGGGAAAAATGAAGAATGATTCACATATGAAATATAAAACTAGGAAAATAGTATTTTTAGGGAATCGTACATATGTAACTATTTTCAGAAATACAACGGAATGAGTAATATAAAATTCAGCATAATGGTGAACGGAAGGAAGGAGATGTTTTTAGAGAGTCTTCTTTCTAGAAGACTCCAAAAATACTGGCATTTTTTTTTTCTTAAGCTCTGTAGTGGGTACCTGGGCATTTTTCATTCTTCTTTAAGATATGCACATGAGATATACTCATATGTATATTTCCCAATTAAAATTGGTGTACAAAATCTTTTTAAGGAGAGCCCTTATGAAACTGTTCACATCAGCAAGTTCTAGCTTGAATAAGGACTTCCTGTTACTATGTAACCAAACAAAAGATAGCATTTTCTTGTTTTCTGAAGCTAATGTAAGATGGAAACCTTCAGTTGTAATCCTATTTCAAAAGTTCTTGCTCTTCACATCTGACTTATCCTCAATTATTTCTAGTACTTCAGTACAGATGTGATTTTATAGAATACATTCGCAAATTAAAAACGCCATCTCCATCTGCCTACCTTGGGCTTCCAAGTAAAGTTCTATTTTTACAAAAATCAAAACAGTTCCTCAACTTTAAAAGTTTGAAAACCAGTGTACTTGTAAAGCACTTGATGCAAGCAACTTCTGAATGTTTCACATAAAAACAAACAAAAATGTGTCCTCTGTAATACAGTTAGAGCCTCCCAACAGAGCCTCAGAAGACCGTTTCTAAAGGCAGTGAGTTCTACTTGCAGAAATAGGGCGGGAGTGCAGTCTGACTCCAATCCACACGTCCTTCCCCTCTGACAGAACGCCCCAAAACGCAGTCCTCTCTTTCTTCCGCGCCGCTCCCGCCCTAGTCCTCTTAGACCCGCGACCGGAGGCTCCGGAAGACCCCGAGCCCCGCCCGCTCCGTGACCCCGCCCCCACCCGTCCCGCCCCTGAAAGCGCCCGGAACGCTGTGCGCGCGCCTTCGGGGAGGAGGGGCTGTCTGGGCTCGGGGCGCGGCGGCAGTCAGCTCTATGTTCGCGGTCTTAACCTCTCCTCTGGCCGAGTCCTTGCAAGAAGTGAATTACCCGACCCTGGTGAGTAGCTGCAGGAGTCAGACCTCTTGGAGGCGGCGGCGCCAGCAGCGGCGGCAGGCACGAGGTCCACCGCGGGCGCCTGCGCGCTCGCCCGCCAGCCAATCTGGTGGCCGCTTTCCTCCGGGCGCCCTTTGACCCGGCGCCCCTCTGGCAGGCGCTGGTGGCGCCCAGCGGCGAGCCTGTAGCCCCCTCGATTAACCTAGGCTGTCACTCTTAGGCCTGTTTTAGTCTGCGTTAGTTTTACTGCCTTTTACACTGCTTTATCCCCACCTCACTGGCCTCGTCGCCGCCTCCTCTTTGAAACGGTACCTCCTGTCGCCTCGGATTTTCCTTGTCTCCCCGACAAGGTGGAAATTTCGGGTCGGATGGAAGCCTTTTTCAGCACCTTCTCCTTGTGCCCCCAGACTGCCTCTGGGCCTTGAGCCGACCGGGAGAGTAGAAGGATCGAGGCCTGCTGGGCTCTGGGTGCAACGGAAAGGTAGCTGTCGCCTCTGGGCATCGGGAGGAGACCGCCCGATGGCGAGGCCGCTAGAGATGGTTTTTCAGTTCACCTGTTAACGTGTTTGGCACTGTCATCTTAGACTCTTAGCCTTTGCTAAGTCGGGATGCAACAGTGCTGGATTAGTGTTTTTGTTGTTCCTTTTTCCAAAGAAGCAACTTGAAGTACAGGCAGGTATAACTGTTTGGTTTTGTTGTTGTAAGACCCTACGGATAAGTGTTAGGAGAAAATGTGGAAGTGCTATAAAACAACAACAAGGGGGGGATAATGTTGATTAAGAACTTGAAAATAAGAAAAATGGGACTGGAATAGGCTGTTCACGTTAAAGTATTGAGGCAGTAGTTTGAAACAAAAATATAAAGTAAAACCTAGATATTGGTGATACTGTATCACGTTGTTTGCAAATCACTTTCATGACAATACATCTATTTCAGGTGTATCACACCTGAAAAAAACATGAGTGCTGTGAATTTGTGGATTTTCAGGCTCAATGCAGAAAAACACCCCCCAAAACAAAAAATCACAACAATGAAAACACCATTTCCAGAGCTGTTGCTGTTATTCGTGTGACGAATAGTGAATGTATGATCATAAAATAGAATAAGCTGTCTTTAGATGAAGTTTGGGCACAGTTTATGGAGTAGGTAACAGTTAATCATTGTTTATTAGGTACATAATCCTTAATTGAAAACATAACCATATAGCAGCAGCTTTCATCTTGTGTCACAAAAATAACTGGTGTATCCTCTAAATTTGATTTGTCTAATACCTTAAAGGAAGGCAGAATAGCATGGACAAGAACTTGAGTTCTTGAGCCAGACTCGATCTGCTCCTTGCTAGGTGATTAACCTTAGATTGGTTTCTTGGCCATTTGCTGGCCCAGAGATTTTTGAAAAAGTTACCAACTGCTCAGCTTCATCATTTGTAAAATGAGGTTAAAAAAAATTCTGCGGCCTGGCGCGGTGCCTCACGCCTGTAATCCCAGCACTTTGGGAGGCCGAAGTGGGTGGATCATGAGGTCAAGAGATCGAGACCATCCTGGCCAACCAACATGGTGAAACCCTGTCTCTACTAAAAATACAAAAATTAGCTGGGCGTCGTAGCGTGCGCCTGTAGTCCCAGCTACTCTGGAGGCTGAGGCAGGAGAATCGCTTGAACCCGGGAGGTGGAGGTTGTAGTGAGCCAAGATGGCGCCACTGCACTTCAGCATGGCAACAGAGTGAGACTCCATCTCAAAAACAAAACAAAACAAAACAAAAAACAGAAACTAAACCTCACTGAATTTCTGTTAACCAGAGGGTACAAGTGTTTACAATAAAACTGACCTGGGCAAGGATTGATTTTGAAACTGATTTTGAAAGTTCCAGATGTGTCTTCTAGTATTGAGTTATATTTATCTCCGGTGGCTTCATACAAAATAAAATTAGAAGAAAACAATATATTTTTTAAAAAAAGCACCAGAAGTCTGTGTGATTTAATTTAGTTAATTGAAAGGGAAGTCTTTTTGGCTTTTGTGAGTTACATGATAAAAGCAAATAATTTTTGAAGTACTAATTCATACCACCCTGCTTCTGAATCTCTTGGGGTCTCTTAGCTAGCTGGATATGTCCAATAATTTTTTATTAGACATCACTAAGCTTCAAGTCAGCATTTCAAAGGATTAAAAGCACAAAACTCAAAAAATAGAAGCTACAGGTTCAAAAGAACCTATTGTGTATGAGTAATGTAAACAGTCTTTTGAGGAGAAAACAGATTTTCAGTAGCCAATACTTTGAGTAGGTCCCTGCCTTGGAAAGATATATCTGCAATAAACTTGTAATATTTTCTCTATGGTGACTTATAATACTTTTCTTTTATTGAAGCTAAATTAGTTCCTCCACCCCTTTCCTGCAAGATCAGACATTTTAGGCATCTCAAGGGTCATTGTGGTTTTACAGCGTTGAAGATGATTTTTTTTATTAAATTGGATTTTTAAAATTATTGGATCTTTACGATTCTTTATAATATGTTCAGTATACACCGTAAACTTATCAAGTGTGTATACGGTCAGTAGTCTATATATACACACACACACAGATATACATATATATATATACACACACACTGCCTGAATACCAATGAAACAGCAAAGAGCCAGAAATTAACTTTTTTAAAGCTGAACACTTAATGAACACTATGTGAAAGATATGTTATGCTCTACTAGAATGTGAAGATAAAGACTCCATTTCTGAAACTTAAGGAGCAATCTAGTAGGTGATATAAAGATAAATGCACAGCATGATATAATACATAAGGAATGACAATTTGGCCGGGCACGGTGGCTCACACCTGTAATCCCAGCACTTTGGGAGGCAGAGGCGGGTGGATCACGAGGTCAGGAGATCGAGACCATCCTGGCTAACACGGTGAAACCCCATCTCTACTAAAAATACAAAAAATTAGCCAGGCGTGGTGGCAGGCACCTGTAGTCCCAGCTACTCGGGAGGCTGAAGCAGGAGAATGGCATGAACCCTGGAGGCGGAGCTTGCAGTGAGCGGAGATAGTGCCACTGCACTCCAGCCTGGGCAACAGAGTGAGACGCCGTCTCAAAAAAAAAAAAAAAAAAGAAATGACAATTTAAAAAGTAAATACTGTTAACAATAAAATATATGAGGAATAAGTACTTTTCACTGTGGAATTAGGAGAGGTATCAAGAAGAGGCAGCATTTCAACTTTGACTTGAAGGTGACTGGTATTTCAATAGTTGGTCATATAGAGAATAGGCATTTAGAATAAAATGTGTTATATTTTAATTGCTTGTCGGACACCCATCTTTAATCATCATCATAAACAATTGCTCATTTATTTAGTCTTATACTAAGCCACATGATTTTGAGAGTTTTACAATATTAACTAATTTCATCCTCACAAAAATCCTATGAGTGAAGTAATAACTCATTCTATGGGTGAGGAAAGGAACTCAGAAAGATCAGGTCAGTTTTGTAGGTCAGATAACTAAAAAATGGCACAGCTGGAATTTGAGCTCAAGCATTTGAACTACAGAGCTCATATTTTAAATCTCAATGCCCATCTGTGTTTATTTAGGTTGAGATGACTTAATTGAGACATGGAGGTTGAGCCAGAGCCAGCAGATCATCTCTTAAAATTGAGCTTGTGTGTCATCTATAATGATGTGATAAACACACATTTTAATTGAATGAATGAAGTAATGTAAAATGAGAAGACAGAGGATCAGCTTAAGAAATTACATTCATAGGCAAGAGAGAGAGAAAAAAAAACAGCTTCCATAAATGGACATTTTGTGCTTTGTATTCATGAGTGTATCCAGAAAATGAACCTAAGAAATTTTTTAGAGTTTCCAATATTTCTTCACTTTTCATTTATTTATAAATTCATTAGTATTTACTGTTTGATTAAAACATTACTGTTTCAAATTGTCTTGCATGATTCACAGAATAGTTTTATCAGTAGGCAAAACAGATACCCTCTTTTTTAAGAAAAGGCTAAGTGATTTACCCAGGATCACACAACTAAGTGTGACTGATTTGAATTTACATCTTAAGATTTATTATATATCTTGATCTTTCATGAATCTCGCCATTCAGCTGAAGTCAACGTTTCAAAAATGAATGCCTTACTAATTTATAAATCTGTTAGTTATTTCTCCTTTCTCTGTAACTCTTCCAACATTCATTACCATTGTTTTTTTCCTTATAGAATACCTATCCAAATGTTTTCCTTCTGAAGTATTATGTTCTACTTTTAGAAAACAGAGTAAGAAAATATCACTGTTGTCTCATCCAGACATAACTATTTTACATGTTTAAGTATATTTCCTTCTATGTGTATCTTTAATACAGATATGATATTATATATCATAGTAGTTGATATATTACATCCAAAATATTATTTTTGCTTCATGTCTCATCAAAATTTTCCCTTTCTTCAATCAAAGGGAAATGTTTGTTGTGATGTCAATGATTTGAAAATTTCAGGACAACAAATTACAGTGGCATGCCAAAATGGTTGTATCATCTTTTTTTTTTTTTTTTTTTTTTTTTTTTGAGACGGAGTCTTGCTCTGTCGCCGAGGCTGGAGTGCAGTGGCGCGATCTCTGCTCACTACAAGCTCTGCCTCCCAGGTTCACACCATTCTCCTGCCTCAGCCTCCCGAGTAGCTGGGACTACAGGTGCCCACCACCATGCCTGGCTAATTTTTTGTATTTTTAGTAGAGATGGAGTTTCACCGTGTTAGGCAGGATGGTCTTGATCTCCTGACCTCGTGATCTGCCTGCCTCAGCCTCCCAAAGTGCTGGGATTACAGGCGTGAGCCACCACGCCCAGCCCATCCTTTTATACCTGTTAGTGCAACAGGACTGCCACAGCTCACATGTAGAAATTTCACTTCACAGAGTCATGTAGTGCAGGGTTTGAAAGACTTTGTGACTTAGCCCTTTCCAGAAATAAGCAGGTATGTTAACAGCTCACATTCTTCTATTTACTGCTGGGATAAATAGCACAAACAATTTCTGTTTACTTTTCCTGCATATTCACCATATGGTAATATTTTACCATATTTGCTTACCATTATACACAAACACACATACCCTTACTTATTATACGTTGCATTGTATGTAAGCCATACATTTTATATATAGTGTATGTATGTGGTGTACATATATGTATGAATATGTGTGTATTTATGTATATGTGTGTATCCTCTCTTTAATATATTGTCTCATGGTTCCTCGTGATTAGATCTGGATTAATTTTTAACAAGAGTACCACAGCAGTGATTCTGTGTTTTTCTCAGTACGGGTTCGCTGAAGACTAATGGCCATACTTATTTATCCAAATTAACTGATAAAGTCAATTTTGATCACTAGTTTAAATTGGTGTTTTGGTAGGTTTTCCACTGTTATTATTTCCCCATTTGTAATTAATTAGATATCTTCTGGAGGAACATTTTGTCAGTATGTATATAGTTATTAAAACAAAATCTCCAGACCTGTCTACCTATTCCTTTACTAAAAGTTCATTTACATAGCTTTTTATTAGAGAGGGAGGGAACTGATGTGATGGAATGCAGGGATGGGTAAGAGTTAGGATACCAGGTAAAGTGTCAGAAAAGATTTAGTAATTAATATTGTTTCCCAAGAGTTTTATAAATTTAAATACATTTAATTATGTATATATAATCATACATATTTATATCTAAATATATATGACATGTATCCATATATAACATAAGATGCACAATATGTAAATACACATATATGTGCATGTATGTGTACATATGCACATACACACGTTTATGTATGTACCTGCATGCCTTGATATATTTACAGTATGCATATCGTATATACAGTATACATATATACATATATGACGTATATATGTACACACACCATATTTACTTAAAGTTTGAAACAGACAAAATACAGTTAACTTTAGTTAGATATGCTTGTGTGCGGTGGGAAAACTATAAAGAAAGAAGAGGTGAAATGGTAAACACAAAATTCAAGCAGTTGCCCTTAGGCAGGGAGAAGGGCAGGACTGGTGATTCAGAGGGAGCACGAGAAGTGGAAAGGAGCTTTTAAGCTGGCAGATTTCTTTTTGAATGTTTACTTTATATGTTTTAAACTAGACATGTCTTTTATACTATTCTTTTATGTTATTCTTTATATTATTCACTATTCACAATTAAACAAGATTAACCTTAAAAATAATTCTTATGATTTTAGCTGTTAAAGAAATATACTTGGTTAGTTTAGTGTTTCTTAAATACATGTAGAATAGTGTTGTGGGAAGTCAGGGACCCCGAACGGAGGGACTGACTGGAGCTGCAGCAGAGGAACATAAATTGTGAAGATTTCATGGACATTTATCACTTCCCTAAGAATACTCTTATAATTTCTTATGCCTGTCTTACTTTAATCTCTTAATCCTCTTATCTTCGTAAACTGAGGATGTACGTCACCTCAGGACCACTATAATTGTGTTAACTGTACAAATTGATTGTAAAACGTGTGTTTGAACAATATGAAATCAGTGCACCTTGAAAAAGAACAGAGTAACAGCGATTTTTAAGACAGCGATAAAGTCTGACTGCCTGTGGGGTCGGGCAAAAAGAGCCATATTTTTCTTCTTGCAGAGAGCCTATAAATGGACGTGCAAGTAGGAGAGGTATCACTAAATTCTTTTCCTAGCAAGGAACATTAATATTAAGACCCTAGGAAAAGAATTGCATTCCTCGGGGGAGGTCTATAAGCGGCCGCTCTGGGAGTGTCTGTCCTATGCGGTTGAGATAAGGACTGAGATACGCCCTGGTCTCCTCCAGTACCCCACCCTGGTGAATTTGAGGTCAGACTGGTTCTCTGCTCTCGAACCCTGTTTTCTGTTGTTTAAGATGTTTATCAAGACAGTAGGTGCACAGCTGAACATAGACCCTTACCAGTAGTTCTGTTTTGCCTTTTCTCCTGTTTCCCCAGAAGCATGTGATCTTTGTTCTCCTTTTTGCCCTTTGAAGTATGTGATCTTGTGAGTTACTCCCTGTTCTTGGACCCCCTCCCCTTTTGAAATTCTTAATAAAATTTGCTGGTTTTGTGGCTCAGGTGGGCATCATGGTCCTACCGATATGTGATGTCACCCCCGGTGGCCCAACTGTAAAATTCCTCTCTTTGTACTCTCTCTCTTATTTCTCAGACTGGTTGACATTTATGGAAAATAGAAAGAACCTACGTTGAAATATTGGGGATGGGTTCCCCCGATAGAATAGAAGCAGCAGTTTGTAGGAAGTTTCACTTGTCTTTCTTTTCTATTGGAGTTAAGTCTTTTTTAACTTAATTCTCTATAATAACAGCACCGTATCATAGAACTCATTTTATAAAGCAGTCAATGTCAGCATTGTGCCAAATACCTTTCTAATAAGAAATCTGTATATAAAAAGACTTGAATATTTCATTCATATGGTGTATATGTACCTATATACTTATACTCATATATATATATATATACACACACAACAATAATGTCTTTTCTTAATCAGCCAAGAAGCACTGCATTAATATATGTCCATAAACATACTTACTAAAACAAAAACACATATAATACCCTTTCAGAAGTTATAAATTACTGTTTATAACCTCTGTTCAGTAAGATTTTCAGAGTCGTAAGTTAATTTTATTTTTGGAGACGTTTTCTTGCACTGTCACCCAGGCTGGAGTGCAGTGGCACAATCATGGCTCACTGCAGCCTTGACCTTCTGGGCTCAAGCAATCCACCTGCCTCAGCCTCATGAGTAGCTGGGGAACTACAGGCACACACCACCATGCCTAGCCAATTTTTTAAAAGTTTGTGTAGGGATGGGGTCTCCCCGTGGTTGTCCAGGCTGGTCTCAAACTGCTGAACTCAAGTGATCTTCCTGCCTCAGCCTTCCAAAGTGCTGGGATTACAGGCATGAGCCATCATGCCCAGCCTAATGAATTTTTTGAAAAAATTGGGAATATCTTACTTGTGATTATTCTTTTTTTCTCTACTGTCATTTAAAAAATTTTGTCTGATTCTATTTCACTTCAAAATGTTATTTAAAATTTGTAATTTTTCCCTTTTATGAAATTGTTAGTTAAAAATTTTTTAGAAAATCTGTTTAATGACTGGGTTTTTCATACACTAGTAAGTATTTCCTTTTTATTAACTGTGATTTGTAAATTTTACACTTAGATTTAGAAAATTTTAGTTCAGGCCAGGTGTGTGGTGACTCATACCTGTAATCCTAGCAATGTGGGAGGCTGAGACAGGAGGATCGCTTGAGCCCAAGAGTTCAAGACCAGCCTGGTCAACATAGTGAGACCTTGTCTCTACAATAAATAAATAAATGATTTTTAAACAGAATTTTAGTTCACATACATAGAATGTTCCCTTCCTACATTCAGCATACATGTAATCTGTTCAAGTAATGAAAAACATATTTTAATTTCTTAAATAAAATTTCCTAAAGGTTCGTCTGACTAAACGTAATTGGCATGTACATGGTGATATATCCAAATGAATATTGCCGTTTATTCTAGCCATAGACCCTTATTGTACACATTTATATATGATGATATAATTAATGTCTTCACTTTCTTAATTTCACCAATATGTGATGAAATCAGTATTAATTATTCAATGTAATGAAATTTATGGATTTTAGTTTTCGTGTTGAATATATTGGAAAATACTGTTGATAACACTTACTAATTATCTTTTTTCAATAAATTGCAGCAAAACACTTACTATTTTGGAGTTTAAAGTATGTCATCATGGCAAAGTTTCGGAGAAGGACTTGCATCATTTTGGCACTTTTTATTCTATTTATTTTCTCTCTGATGATGGGTTTAAAAATGCTGAGACCAAATACAGCTACTTTTGGAGCTCCTTTTGGACTTGACCTTCTTCCAGAACTTCATCAACGAACTATTCATTTGGGGAAAAATTTTGATTTCCAAAAGAGTGACAGAATCAACAGTGAAACAAATACCAAGAATTTAAAAAGTGTTGAAATCACTATGAAACCTTCCAAAGCCTCTGAACTTAACTTGGATGAACTACCACCTCTGAACAATTATCTACATGTATTTTATTACAGTTGGTATGGAAATCCACAATTTGATGGTAAATATATACATTGGAATCATCCAGTGTTAGAGCATTGGGACCCTAGAATAGCCAAGAATTATCCACAAGGGAGACACAACCCTCCAGATGACATTGGCTCCAGCTTTTATCCTGAATTGGGAAGTTACAGTTCTCGGGATCCTTCTGTCATAGAAACTCACATGAGACAAATGCGCTCAGCTTCAATTGGTAATTATTGTATATATATATATGTGTGTTTGTGTCTGTATATATGCATATAAATGATTTTTTGTGTAACTTTACTAGTTAATTTTCTCATTATTATTAATTATATTGTTAAGCTCATACCTCCAAATTAAACTGTATGTATGATCTTAAACATCCAGGCAACCACATTTTAACACTGCCCTTAGTGTATATTGTTTAATTTTTACATTTTGGAGCATTTCTGGATATATTGTTGATTTCTAATTTAATTCACTTTCTCAATTTTATTAAATTATGATTTACATAAAATACAATGAATTTCCCACTTTAAGTTTATAGCTCATTGATGTTACTCAAAAGTATATACCTGTTTGAATACCACCCCAATCAAGAAGTAAAATATTTCTATAGCCCAAAAAGTCTCATCATAATTCCTTTATTCAGGCCTACCTTCTCCCCTACCGCTGAAAACTGTATACATATCAGCTGGATCTGATTTCTATCAGATCTGATTTCTATCACTGGAGAATAGTTGTGAGTGTTCTATTACTTTATGAAAATAGAGTCATTCAGCATTTGTATGTGTGTATGTCTTTTGCTCAGCACAATATTTTGAACTGCACTTAACTATATCAATAGCTTAGTCATTTTTATTGATGAGAAGTCTCCTATTGTTTGATTTTGGCAAATTTGCTTTTATATTCACCTGTTGATAGGTGTTTGGGCTTTTTCAAATTTTAGGCATGTAGCATGTAATTTAGTCCTGCTTTTCTGTTTCTTAAAGTTATTCTGTCAGTCTTAATGTCTGTTTATTTCATTTATGTTTAATGTAATAATGATATGATTTTAAATCTGCCATTTTTCTGTTTATTTTCCATTTGTCCCACACGTCTGTTTCTTTTTTTCCTTCTTTTTCTTCCTTCTCTTACATTACATATGCGTATTATTCTGTTTTATATTTTCTTCTGGCTTATGTTATTCATTTGTTTTATTTATAACTGTACCTTTTTACAATACGCCCCTTTAACTTAACTGATTCTTATTGTTGTTCCCACCGCTTCTCACCTTTCTCTTCTCCTTCCTTCTGGCACTCCAATTACATATATTTAGATAGAGTCATATTGTCCCACAGGTGAATTACAGAAAAAATATAACTTGGTGCCTGAAAATTCTTCAGTTTGTTAATATAGTCTTTGTAAAACCTTCCAGTTTCAGTTTCATTTATCTTTTTAGTGCCCCTACCAGTAGAGCTAGAACAAGAAATTGGGTATTCTTACATTTTTCCAGCTCTACATAAAGGTATGGATTCACCATGGAGCTGATATGTATTTAGAGAAACACAAGAGTCTTTGATGAACAAAACAATGTAGAATTCTATGAATCTATATCAGATATGTGCAAGATGAGTTGTTTTCCTTGTATGGACTAACTTTTTTCAAGTATTTATAAAATTTAACTTTATAGTATAGTTAGAGATTTAGTTTCTATGTTCTGTATGTATTATGACATAAAATAGCTTGGGTCAGTTAAGACAGCATTGACTTCTGTGTGGTCAATATGTATGTGTGTGTGTCTGTCTCTACTAATTTGCTTTTGGGAGGAGAATCTTTTCAAATGATATTTTTTCTATTGTTTACAAAAAATTTGTGTCACATTTAAGTCTTTATTCAAGACTGTCTTGATATGGCTAAAAAAACTATGCTAGATTGACAGAGGAAATGGTTGTTCTTTAAAGTTTTAATTTTCATTTGCAATTTGAATAGTATACAATGAGGGTTTTTTCCCCTCCATTATAAATATAACTAATATTAATACATATTTGTAATACATAAACATATATAAATAATATATGTGGTAAATATAAATTTTAAATAGAAATATATGTGTTACACTATTTTTGGTATAGTTTGTGATCAGGAAGAAAAGTTTCAGTAAACATTTTTATGCCTATTCATATTTATAAAGACCTTTTTCCCTGTATAATATTTTAGTATTGTATCATGTATATGAACATTAATTATTTCTAAACATTGACAGTAATACAGTCATTTCAATTTTAAATGTTGACAGCTTCACTACGGATGCAAATATTTTACTTTTTGATGGATTTTCTCCTAGACAAAATTAAAAAATAAACTTGATAATAAAAGTGACATAATCAATTTATAAATAAAGAAATAATTTCTTAATGAGTTAAATATTGAATTATACTCATTGTTACCAGGCAGAAAATAATTTGACTGTTGGAATACTGACTCAAAACCCTAATTTAATCCATGGAGCTGGCATGCTGACTCAGGCATTCTTTGGATTGAAGAAGATAGTAAATGAAGGCTGTTTAAATTGTTGTATGGTTGACTGTGCTTTGACTACATATTTAACATTCATATTTTTCCTTTGATATAAATGGCCTTCTTTTTATCTTAAGTTGAATTGCTGTGTGAAGTAATTATGCTGTTATATCGCAGAGTACAAGTTGGTTGATTTTCTGCTTTTACAATTAAGTGTGGTTGGCATAAATCCTAATGGCTCAACCCTTCATTGAAAAGAATGATAAAATTAAAATGAACTATTAATGTTATGTTTAAAATCCAATTATTATATATAATGTATCAGATATATTACAATGGCATATGGTAGATTTGTATCCTTTTCAAGTCTTTTAAGTAAAATATTACGTATCATGTATTCTATCCTCTTGTATTGCTGTATTACAACTCTAAAAGTAACAGATGAATGCCTTCTTTTTTTTATACAGTTTACTAAAACTTTAGTAGACTGGTCAGAAAATAGCCCCCATTTTCTGATGTGGACATCGTAATTCCCACAATCTGTGAATATATTATTTTATTTGGCAAAAGGGGAATTAGGGTTGCAGGTGCAAAAGATTGCTAATCATCTGAACTTGAGATGGCATTATCCTTCATTATTTGGGTACAGCTAATCTAGTCACATAAGTCCTTATAAATAGAAGAAGAGGGAAAAGAGAGTCAGAGGGATGCACGAGAGACTCGACCCCCTGTTGCTATCTTTGAAGATGGAACAAGAAGTTCATGAGCCAAAGAATGTGGTAGCCTCTACAAGCTTGAATGGCAAGGAAAGGGATTCTTTCCTAGAGCCTCCAGAAAGGAATGTCATCCAGTCCAATACCTGGCCTTGATCTTAGCATATTAAGACCCATGTCAACACTCCTGACATGCAAAACTGTAAGGTAATAAATTTACGTTGTTTTAAGCAACTAAATTTGTGATAGTTTGTTATGGCAAAATAGAGAACTGCTACATTTAGCAAAACATAATGTACTCTATGACTTTAAAATTATCTTCCCATTGTTTCAGTTTAGCACTAAATATTTATTGATTTTCCATGACGTTCCAAGCTTGTGCTAGATTCTAGGGACATAAAAATGAGCAAGTCACATTTCCCAGTTCCTTTGTTTTCATCATTGTTGCTTTAAAAACACTGGATGGATTTCAACATTAGAATATTTCCTGAAAGTATGACATATTTGTTTTAGTAAGGTTACAATTCTTACTTCTGCATCTCCTGCCTTTAAAAATTTATACATAAAAGTAGAAGTCACAATGAGATGAATTAGACACATAAAGTTTAAATGTACCTAATAACATCTAATATGATGTCATAAAATTTCCTTTTATAATAACTATTTGCATTAAGTTTAAAGGTTATATTTATAACTGTAGAGTGGTGATATTCCATAAAGCTTTCATATTGCTATAGATGCCCAACCTTTGGCTACAAAAAAAATTTGAAAGTATTCATTGCAAGGAGACAGTCTACTTGCAAATAATATATACTTAATGTGTAATGTAAGGTCTTCACCACTGATATTCCCTATGTTTCCCTCCCATAGTTTGCTATTGTCGTAATTCTGTCACATAAGAAATGGTATTTTACTATCATTGCTGTAGGCCAGAGGTTGGCAAGCATTTTCTGTAAAGGACTGCCTAATATATATTTTTGATTTTGTGAGTCCCTCACTCTCTCTCTTTGCAACCACTCAGCTCTATCCTTATAGTGTGAAAATGGTTATAAGCAATAGATAGACAAATATATAGATGAATTGGCCTGTAAAAGGCAAGATTTGGCCGATGGGTCATAGTTTGCTGATCACTCTTTTCAATAATCAGTTGTTTTTCACAGTGATTAAAAGTAAGAATGTTTTTTACATTTATTCCATTTCTACTGTTCCCCATCCATATTTTAATGTAGATCCAAGTGTATGTCTAATATCATATTCTTTCTCTCTTAAAAATTTCTTTTATCTTGTTTTACTGGTCTCCTTGCAATGAATATTTTCAAATTTTGTTTGTAGCCTTTATTTTGAAAGATGTTTCATCACCTATGGAATTCTCAATGGGCAGGTTTTAGGGGATTGTTTTCTTTTGGAATTTTGAAAATGTATTCCATTTCTTTTTTTCTTCTTTTTCTTCAGTCTTTCATGGTTTCTGATGAGTAGTCTGCCGTAATTTAAAAAAATCTTTTTATATCCTCATTTTCTTGGATGGATATGTTTTGTTGTTGCTGTTGTTGTTTTCTGGCTGCATTTAATTTTTTTCTTTTTTTCTTTTTTCTATTTTGTTTTTTAGCAGTCTAAACATGGTATGGTTACTTGTTACTCCTGTTATTTTTTGTTATTTATCCTTCTTGGTGTTCTCTGAATTTTTAATCTGTTGCTTTGTGTCTTTTATTAATTTTGCTAAATTCTTAGTGATTATTGTTATTGTTTTATGAGATGGAGTCCCACCCTGTCGCCCAGGCTGGAGTGCAGTGGCCTGATCTCAGCTCACTGTCACTGCAACCTCTGCCTCCTGGGTTCAAGCAATTCTCCTGCCTCACCCTCCCAAGTAGCTGGGACTACAGATGTGCTCCACCACGCGTAGCTAATTTTTGTACTTTTAGTAGAGACAAGGTTTCACCATGTTGTCCAGTATGGTCTCGATCTCCTGAGCTCGTTATCCACCTGCCTGGGCCTCCCAAAGTGCTAGGATTACAGGCGTCAGCCACCGTGTCCAGCCTGATTATTTTTTCAAATAAACCTCCTACTTCTGGGTTTCCAATTACATGTGTACTAGAACTTTGATATTTATCTCGCAACTGTTAAATGCATTGTTCTATTGTTTTCCCCAGTCTTTTTTCTCATTATGGTAATTTGGATAAGGTAATTTCTTTTGACTTGCCTTGAAGTTTCCTGATTATCTCCTCAGCTCTGTTAATGAGCCTATTAAAGGCATTAATTCATCTTTTTAAGTAGTCTTTCATTCCTGGCATTTCTGTTTTATTTGTTCTTATAGTTCCCATATCTCTGCTGAAATTTGCCAGATCTTGTGTGTTAGCTACTTTGTCCATTAGATCCTTTAAGATATTCATTACAGTAATTTTATATTCTCTCTCTGATGATTCCAACGTATCTCATTTGTGAGTCTGTTTCTATTGATTGCTTTGTTTCTTGTCAGTGAATTGTTTTTCTTGCTTTTTTTTCTGTACCTTGTAAAATTTTGTTAAAAGTATGTCACCCTGGGTAAGATAGTGAAAATTGTGTTACGTCTAGAAATGAGCTTGCCTTTTTTTCTCTTAAAGCTTTAGTTTGAAAGAATGTTTGAGATGTTCAAAAGAAGCTCTAAATTTCCTATGAACACATAACAAGTTTTCTGGGGCTCAAGGTATCCAAATTTATCCATCATTATACTGTCTTCTTGTTATTAAGTGTTATTTATAATCACTTTTTAGGTGTTTTACTCTGCATGATGCATTCTCTCATTTGTGCTTTTTAAAACAGGCCTTATCCTACATTTTACAGATGTGGAAACTTAAGTAAAATAACTTACCTAAAGATACTCATCTATCAAATAACAGAATAAGAACTCGATTCTCTAGGCCTATCTGATTTTTATACCCTATATTCTTAACTGTTATCCTATTTGAATGCATCACTTTACTAACAACAAAAAAAATTGACTATCAATTATATTGAAGGTCCTGTAATAAGTGGCATGGAGGGGTGACATGAGCAACATGACATGAGTTTTTGCATTTAGTTTGCTAATATTTCAAGAATGGACTTCAAAGAGCATCCTAGAGTTTGCTAAGCAATTAGGATGACAGAAATACAGAGTAATAGATTTTACTTATAAGTGATACTCAGTTGGCTTATTTTATAGACACTTCTCTGGTTACTATCAAGGATTCACTGCCATTGTAAATTCCCAACACTCCTCAGAAGTACGACAATCACTGGCGTGGTTCCCAGGCTAGTATTTATTCAGTGCCACAGTCCAGAAGACACTGTATAATGATTAATTGGGCTGTGGATCACAGTATAGGGATAGAATTAGATATCTGGAAGTCATAATTGATGCAATAAAGAAGCTGAAATATAACAACATTGTAAGGGAGAAGAAAGAACATTCCTCCAAAGCCATAGAGTATACTTGCAAAGAGGATAAAAGAGGAAGAGAAATTACTAGACCAAGAATGGGATGGTTAATTTATTAGGAGAATCAGAATAATATGGCAGCGCTATCCAGTAGAATTTTCTGTGATGATGAAAATATTCTCTATCTGTGCTGCCTAAAACAGTAGATACATAGTCATATGTGGCTATTGAACACTTGAAACGTAGCTAGTTGAGTGTGCAAGAAAACTTAATTCTTTTAAATTTTAATTTATATGGTAGATATGGGTATTATTTTGGAGAGCATAGGACTAGAATGTAATCAAGCTTGAGGAAGAGAGTAAAGAAATGGTGGAATGGAGATGATAGTATAAAGATGGAAAAGACTGGCTGGGTGTGGTGGCTCACGCCTGTAATCCCAGCACTTTGGGAGGCCGAGGTGGGAGGATCAGGAGATCAGGAGATCAAGACCATCCTGGCCAACATGGTGAAACCCCATCTCTACTAAAAATACAAAAATTAGCCAGGTGTGGTGGTGGGTGCCTGTAATCCCAGAGGAGGGATTCTATCTGTAATCGATAGAATGAGGCAGGAGAATCACTTGAACCTGGGAGGCGGAGGTTGCAGTGAGCTGAGATTGTGCCACTGCACTCCAGCCTGGCAACAGAGCAAGATTCCGTCTCAAAAAAAAAAAGCAAAAGCTCATGTGTGTGTACATGTGTATGTGCGTGCTAGGAGAGGGGTATGGTTGAAGAGGGAGGGAAAAATGTGAGGGAAAAAACAGAGAATGTTGTAGTTAAAGGAACGAATATTTCTTGAATACTGTAGTCTAGTAAGTGGAATTTTATGTGTGTACTTAAAATATATCCTGAAAGGTAAGAATAATCTGTGTTTTGATGGTGAGGCCACAGAAGCAAGAAGTTAACTTGCCCTTAGTTCATGTAGCTGATAAGTGGTGAGATATTTGAATACATGTTCAAAGCGCATGCATATTCTACTATACTGCCCTGCCTCTCACAAAAAGAAATAGAAGAGTGGTAGATGAATTAGGAAAAGGGCAAAAGTAATGATTTTCTGCATTTTTAAAGGTAAGTGCTTTTTATCTTTTTTAAACTATGAAGGTAATTTTTAGAAGTGTGTGTAATGGCGATACCTGAAGTTGTTGCATGTTGCTGTTGTCTTGTTTCTGCCAATTCTTGTGCATGGTGTTTTATTCTTTGTGTTCTTAATTATCTTTGATTGTATACTATTTATTGTTCTTTATGAAATACTTTTTGTAAATAATTTGAGGCCCAGGAAGAAGATGCCTTCCTCCAGAAAGGATTTTCTTTTGCTTCTGCCTGGTGACTGTTTAGAATACCATTTCTGGTTACCTTAAATTAGGTCTAAAGCTAGAGGATTGTACAAGCATTGTGAACCTGC
This sequence comes from Homo sapiens, assembly GCF_000001405.40. Lineage (NCBI taxonomy): Eukaryota > Metazoa > Chordata > Mammalia > Primates > Hominidae > Homo > Homo sapiens. The sequence goes on from NC_000006.12 coordinate 95,594,800, forward strand.
AGTTTAATTCACTGCTTTTGAGAGTTGGTTTACTTGTACCAATTTTGCTTGGGGCAAACAGACCTCCTTGCTCACTTATCTTTCTGGTTTCACATTTTCCCTTCAATTTGGCCAGGACATTTCTTACTCTCTTCAGCTCTTTAAGACATTTTCTCCCCGTGTTTTATATAATAATAATGGTTATTTTCATGGAGAGTGCTTGGTTTACTATTAGACCAACTGTTATTTTAGACTAGTCTGCTATTATTAGAAACAGGAATCTTGTTTTGTTTTTACTTTTATGGAAGAATGTTTTGCTTATAATTTTCATGTGATTCATAGCATAATCTTTCTGTTGTTTAATATTTTTTCTTATTTTGTTCCTTTCATTTTCTGCATAAAATAATTTTTTCGTAGGTCCCATGTTGAGAAAACTTTTTGTTGTCATTCTTATTTTCATTGGTGATATTCTTCTTATAAGCTGGGCTAGTAATCTTACAAGATTGTAAGTGATCGCTTATAAAATGTTGGATTGTCTCCAGACACTTTTCTCACCAGCATTTCTCTCTAGGATATGCCTTCCTCTGGCTAGCCAGTTTCCCTAAAGCCTCATATGTTATAGGTTATTTTTTCTATGTTTCGTTCTAGTTGCCATTCTTATTTTCAGAGTGGATAGGGGACATAAGGATTATTTTTCCATTAACTTTGATTTTGTTGTCCTAGATGGGACTTACTTATTTGTACATGGCGGCTAGCACAAAACTTAGGTCTTAAAATTTAGTTCTCCAGCAGTTTCTTACCTTCAATTTCTTAATTTCCATATGCTTCTCTTTTGGTACCATTATTATTTATTTCTCTGCCTTAAAGAGTCTGTTTATTTATCTAGAAATTTGTGCAATCTTTCTAATGACTGTCCATTTCTTTGTATACGTAATGAGGCTTTGAATTAATTCATCTTAAATATTCCGTCTCCAGTTAGTGATTTTCATGTAATTTATGCTTCTAACACATAATTTATCAGTTCAAAAATAAGTAGGCAGGCACTACAGAGAGGAACAGTAATTATTTTACTATGTTAGAATCTTCTGTTAAAAGGTATTGATCTACACAAAAACAGCATATAAATGTTTATAGCAGTTTTACTCATAATGGGCAAAAATTGGAAGCAACCAAGATGTCCTTCATTAGGTGAATGTATAAAATAAATACAATGGCATATTATGCAGCAGTAAAAAGAAATGAGCTATCAAGTTATGAAAAGGTATGAAGGAACCTAAAAATTCAAGTTGCTAAATGAATGAAGCCAGTTCTAAAAAGCTACATACTTTGTAATTCCAACTATATGACCTTCTGGAAAAGGCAAAATTATAGGCAGCAAAAAGCTTAGTTATTGGCAGGGGTGAGGGGGAGAGGGAACGGGGATGAATCAGTATAGCACAGGAGGTTTATAGAGCTGGTAAAACTAGTTTTTCAGCTACTCTAATGGAGAGCATATGGTATAATAGATTTGTCAAAACCTGTCGAACTGTACAACACAAAGTGTCAACCCTGATGTAAACTATGGACTTTAGTGAATAAAAATCTTTCAATATTGGGTCATCAATTGTAGCAAATGAAAGATGTTAATTATAGGAGAAACCGTGTGGAGGGTTGGGGCAGGTAGGAGGAAGAGTATATGAGAACTCCATATTTTCTTTGCTATTTTTATGTAAACCTAAAACTTACTCTAAAATGTAAAGTCTGTTCACTTTTACAAAAGCTTATTAATGCCTGATAAAGAGGTCATAAATATTGACAAAGTGATCAAATAGCCATATGTATTCTGAAGGAACTTAACAAAACCACCTCGTATAAATATGTTCTTCTATTGTTAACTCTTTGGTACTTACTGTGCCTTTTTAAGAATATCTGCATTCATGTTCTTGTCTTTTCCCTTTCTTTTTGGTCTTTTCTATTAGGTGTACTAGCCCTCTCTTGGTACCCACCTGATGTAAATGATGAAAATGGAGAACCTACTGATAACTTGGTACCCACTATTTTGGATAAAGCTCATAAATATAACCTAAAGGTATTTTATTTTATTTTCAAGCTATACATAAGTTAATTCTTTTGGACAAGAGGAGAGTAATAACAATTTTTGAAATAGTAATTTTAATTAAAAATGATAATGACTTAGAATCTTTTAAATACTATATTTCATAAAGAAAATTTCTATAATAGGAATTTCAATCTTATCTAAATTATATTTTAGAGATTCTTTACTATGTTTCTAATGTTTTATTTTTTTATAGTAGAAAGGGATTGAAAGGTTCTTTTGTGAAGATAATATAGTAGTGAAGATTTATATGTCTAAATATCTTAGATGTCAAAAATCTAAAAACAAGTATTAACCATGTAACTTTGCATATTTATAAAGTAGTTAAAAAATAAACTTGCTCAAATATTTTTCAAAATCCAATTTTCATTTAAACCTTATTTAATGTGCATACACATACACACCTGAGTAAATATAGAATACAGCAGAAAGATCAAGTATATTTGATGCAGAAATTAATGTGTGTTGCAAATGAGGGAACACTTCTGACAGTCTTAAGATTTTATTTCTTTTAGAAATTAATGAATCATGGAAACAAATAGGAGTGATGATTAAAAGTATTTAAATAGCACTACAAAAGAAAATTTTATACTGAATAGCAAGTAAATAAGCACTGTTTTTAATATCCAAAGATACATTTTAAAAATTGGTCATGTATTAGGTAGCAACATTAATTCTAATAAATTCATAAAAATTATAACCATAGAGTCTGCATTCTCTGACCACATTCAGTACCATGGAATGTTAATAATTAAGTCCAAACCATTTAGAAAGTATAAAATTATTAAAATTTTAATAACATAATTGAGAATAACTCTGAAATTTAAGTGATATAAATAGCACTGAGATTATTGCATTATCAATACCAATGGGACCTAAATAATAAGACATAGTAGAAGAAAGAACTATGATAGATGAAGTGTGAAATTAATTAAATAGTATACAAGTCCTTCAAAATCAGTAGTCTGGATAAATTAATCTTTACTATTGTCCACTTTTGGGGAAAAAACAATAGGCAAGCCATTGGTGAGATTAAAAAAGAAAAGAAATTGAGAAAACATATCAGCAAAAATTGAAAAGAAATATACCTATAGTTTCAGAAGAGAGTTTAAGATTTTATATCAGTCTATTTAAAATTTATATGGTAGTTTTATAGGAAAATACTAAAATTAATTTTTTTTGGTGCAGAAAGAGGTTTAAAGAATCTGAATTGACTATCCTAGAAAAAAACGTATAAAAGATAATTGAACAAATGTCTTCCCCAAAGTGTCAGGTTTACCTCTCAGTTGTATTCAGAATAGTTGATTTTTATGATAACTGAAATACAGTGTCAAGTATACTCACTATCTATTGCTGCATAACAAATTATTCCAAAACTTGGTAGCTTAAAACAATAAACATTTGTTACCTCACACAATTTCTAAGGGTCAAGCATCTGGAAGTGGCTTATTTGGGAGTGTCTGGTTCAGGGTCTCTGAAGGAGGTTACAGGCAAGCTATTGGCTGGTGCTGTAGTCATCTGAGGCTAGAGGATCCACTAACAGACTTTCTCATGTGGTGGATGACAGACCTCAGTTCTTTGCAGCAGGTGAACTGGAGACTCTGTACTTCTATATATGGGCCTCCAGCTTCACTAGAGTGAAAGATCTGAGAGAGAGTCTAATATAGGGGCTACAGGGTTGTTTTTGTTTGTTTTGTTTTTTGACATAAATCTTGGCAATGACGTGTTAATACTTCTGTCCCATTCTGTTGTTTTATCTACGGATAAAACAACCATGGCACAATGTGGGAGGGAACTGCAAAGTTATGAATACCAGGAGATGGGTATCGGGGGGCCATCTTGAAGAATGGCAACCACAGAAAACTTCCAAATTTATTCCACAATAGCACAATTTTTATTTAAAACTAAGAAAGGATAGAACAAGAAAGAGACAGACTAATCTTACCAATGAAAATAGATTCAAAATTCCTAGAGGGAATTTTGAGAAGAAGTGTTTATTAGCAAGGATTTAAGAATGGTTCCAATCATATGAAATCTGAATCTAAATTCAGGTCTGCATTCAATCCTGGCTCAACCACCTTGTAGCTTTATAAATGACTTGTGTCTCAGCTTCTTCATCTCTAAAATAGAAATAGCAACAAAACCTTCCTTACACACAGAATGGTTATAAAGATTATATTAGATAATATATGTAAAACATAGATTGCTGTCTGGCACAGAGTAAGCACTAAGTAAATAAAACTTCATTGATTATTTAAAGAAGGTAAAACATGGTTATCTTAAGAGATACTGAAAATTTTAGGAAATAAAAATTCATTGTTAATGAAGTCCTTAGTAACCAAAGTTCTTTAGCTTGATAAAGGGTGTCTCTTAGTATCTTATTTCAAACACTATATCTGATGGATATACTACACCTGTAGTCCCAGCTACTACTCAGGAGGCTGAGGCATGAGAATTGCTTGAACCTGGGAGGCAGAGATTGCAGTGAGCTGAGATTGGTGCCACTGCACTCCAGCCTGGGCGACAGAGTGAGAGTCTATCTCAAAAAAAAAAAAAAAAGTGATGTAGGTTCTTTTAACTAGAGACCACTCTGAGATTGCAACCACTCTTAAAATTTGCTGAAGCTTTTTATTTGCTCTGTAACTTCTTGCAGTTATATTCTAATGGAGGACAATCTGGTTTGTCCAATACTGGTAATTGAGCCCTGTAAGATATGTTATGGACCACTGTTGAAATATTTCGTTTCAAATAAAAATGTGAAACATTAGTTTTGTCTTAATTTTCCTTTTGCAGCCTAGAGATTGAGTAGTTATTGGAGAATAGAAATGGAACTGTAGGGAGTGAGAAAGAGCTAAATAGGCAAGCATTTTTTTATTTCTGTCCATAAAGCTGCCTCTTCTTTCTGATTTACTATCCTGAAACTGTTAAGACAGCATCTCTCAAATTAGCTGTCTAGCAAGAGCTGTCACCTGCCATGTCCCTTGGTGCCTTTCAGTGAGTTCTTATTGGCATTTGAAATCTGCAAATAGGCAAGCCTCCAGGTTCTGGTGCCCAGGCTGAGGTTGGGTAAGTGATTGATTTATCTTCCACAAAACAAGCCCAAGAGCTGCTTTTCTGTCCAGGCCCTGCCAAAATCCTGGAAGATGGAAGCTCAAGAAACTGGCTATTTTAGTACTTTCAGGAAGTTTTGAAAGAGAAAATGAAAATGTTATGATATATGAGGATTGGTTGGCTTTTTCTCCTGTTTAAAGTGTCTGTGTAGAGAAGGAGAGTGTGGCAAAGAGCTCGACCACTAATTGCCTATTTAATGTTGCCAGCATACTTGATCTCTCTGTGCTAGGGATTTTATATCTAATGATCAGAAAAACTTGGAACACGATAGACTAATGTTTTCCAAAATTTTTAGAACAGTTTCTTGGCCTCGTGTATGGTGAGGAACTATGTATAGACAAAGAATAGACCTGGAATCATGAGACTGGAGCTTGTTCTAACTGAGTAGCTCTGGAATCTTATATTAGTTCCTTGATCTTCTTGGCTTATCCCCTTCATTTGTACAATGACAATGAAACCATAAGATAGTTTTATTGGATTTGTCTATGATTTCTGTTGTTGTGGAACAGACATTTTTCCTAACTCAATAAAATGCAGTAAATCCTGTTTTTTTAAAGAATGGAAAACTTTCCCTTTTCTTGCTAATATAAGGAAATTTTAATATGTTTAATGAATGACAGTACCTTACTAGAATTATTCAGTGTGCTAAGGCAATCTGATAGGAAAAGATTAATGATGTTGTAGATTGTGTGCTGACAAATTGGAGCCTCCAATGCACATAACTGACCACATCTAAAACTTTTAAGTGTAAAATGCGTTCATTAGTAACATCTCTTTTTTCTTGCTAGTCTTCAAAGCATGGAAATACTAAATGGATGGAGAATTTTTAGGGAATGAATCCGTCTCACAGTTAAACTTTTGTTATAGTTCATTCATTTTGATTATATAATGTTTTTACTAATATTAGTCATTAAATATTTTGTAATTGTAATTTTGATTTGTTAACTTCAACCAAGAGTTATTTTAAGTAAGTGCCTTTTAAATTATAAACAAACATGCAAGAAAAGGAAATGATTGGTGCTTTAGTTATTTTTCATTATCTTTAGCAAATGTGACTAGGTTTTTTTTTGGAAGTGTAAATGAGTGAAACTAAAATTTAAATCTTGATTTTTCAAAGCGATTTAGTTTCTGTTCTTTTAAAGTATACTTGTCTGCATGTTTGCTAGAGCAAAGGCTGTTGCACTTATAACTGTCATTTAGTAGGCTGGTTTTGCAGAGAGTGTAAAAATCAGGGCTGGATTCCTTCCTCTATATCCTGCACCATTAAGAACACAGCAACGGAACAATTTTTTGAGTAAGACATGACAGAAATATTTGGTAGATTCCGTCATTGTTTAGCAAATAATCTGGTTTTCCTTCCCCTGCATGCAAAGAGTAAGTATACTTCCTGCCCTGTTGTTGTTGGGTTTGGCCTTATGGCTTGCTTTGGCTGATGAGATGTGAGAAGAGATAATGTATACTATGTGCTTGCATGATTATGCTCTTATTCTCTTTTATAAGAAAAGCATGCCCCTTTCTGCCTAGGACTCAGAATGACAGACACGTGGAGCTGATTTGAACCAGCCTGGAGCAGAACCATCATAAGCCAGTTCATAGATTTTATGTTCGAAAAGCAAATGTTTGTCTTTTAGAGCCACTGAGATTGTGGGGTTGTTACATGGCATTATCTAATCAAAACTTGACTGAATTAAATCATTCATCTAAGTAAAAGAAAATTAGGCAGATTCAGTGATTTTTTTTTTTTTTTTTTTTTTTTTTTTGCTTAGGATTATAGGGGAAAGAACCAACTCAGCCCTGGTGATCTTCTTTCATTTTAATAAATTTAGTATGTTATTTTAAAGTAGCATATTTTCTTTCTACTTTATGCAGAAATCACATTTCTTATACTAGGTTTATCAACATCCATTATTTCTTTGCATATGGCTCTAGAGTCATTTTATCTGCTTTTCAGGCTTATGCAGATTTCAACCATGTGAAACATGAATATAAGTATGTCCGTGATTCTTTTTTAAATGATTTTCACCTACATTTGAAACATGTTATATTAGTCATGGCCTCTCCTTTTTCTTTTTCCTTGTTAAATGAATATTGTGAATTCATGGCAGAAACTTTGGGAATCTTACCTAAATCCAGTATAAGTGACAGACTTAAGAGTTTAACTGTTGTTTGTTTTTGCATGCAAATCATTAGTCCATTTATTTATGCATGCATTCATTCATTTAGCACCTGCTACGTGTCAGATACAGTCCCAGATGCTGACAATATTAAGAAGAAGGATGAAGTATTATCTCTTTCCCTAAAATGCCTTGTAATCTACTGGAGGTCAGACACAAAGACAAGTAAATTTCAGGAAGAGAAAAGTATGAGGTATTATGGCACCACATAGGAGTAGGAAGACCTACCTCAATTTTGTTGTGGCAGGGGATAGGGGAGTGTGCAGGGGTGAAGGTAGAGAATAGAGTTGGAGAAGGAGAAAGTTATCAGATTTTCATTCAAAAAAGTTCATTTTATTAAAATTTATTTATTAAAGTTATTAAAATGCAGGGTAGGGAAGAGACAGGAAAGGTCAAAATTAAAAACATGAAATGAGGGAATGTTTATATTCTTATTCTTTAAAGATAAGAAAGACATTTCATTTTATGTATAGAATTCTGTTATTTTAAAATTTATTTTAACATTGATCTAATTGATTTTTCCAAATGGAATAGAGAGATGGAGACTAGATCACATCATTAATTAAAATTGCAAAGTAATGGCCGGGCGCGGTGGCTCACGCCTGTAATCCCAGCACTTTGGGAGGCCGAGGCGGGTGGATCATGAGGTCAGGAGATCGAGACCATCCTGGCTAACAAGGTGAAACCCCGTCTCTACTAAAAATACAAAAAATTAGCCGGGCGCGGTGGCGGGCGCCTGTAGTCCCAGCTACTCGGGAGGCTGAGGCAGGAGAATGGCGTGAACCCGGGAAGCGGAGCTTGCAGTGAGCCGAGATTGCGCCACTGCAGTCCGCAGTCCGGCCTGGGCGACAGAGCGAGACTCCGTCTCAAAAAAAAAAAAAAAAAAAAAAAAAATTGCAAAGTAATTTTATTATAATTAAGAAATTAGAAATACATGAGGGAAAATTTTAAATATTTTATACTTATCAATACTATATTTACTTTAAATATATTGATCTGCGCTTTACAAAAATAGCATGCTATTTGTTGTTTGCAGCTGTAAAAGCAAATTCATTTTGATATAGGATATTTCAAGTTGGATATTGCTTAAATATGGTGTCCTTTATGTATAAAATGGAAATTTAGAAAACACAGTGATGTAACTGAAGGAAGAATTACCCAAGGAAACATTATGTAATAGTATGAAAATACCTATACACTAGGCAATTTGCTTTCAACTGAATTTAAAAAGCAAATACCAAAGTTATTGAGAAATCTAGCTGCCCTAGCAGTTACTACCCTGGCAATACTAACAATATGCTGCAAAAATTAATTTGACCTTAGTTTTTTATGACAGAAACTTACTTTTATAATATTACTGTAATCTCATTTAAAGTAGAAAATTATATTTTTTTTAAATATTATTTAACTTTAAAATTAATTATGTGAAAACAAGTAGCACTGATTAATGTAAAATACATTTTGCTTTAATTGGGTAATTGAAAACAGAGGAGTTTCATATTGCAATAGAAGTCTCTAGTTCCATAAATACATCATAGAGCCTGAAACCTAAAATTAAAACAGTATCAATACATTTATTAGACTGCCATAAAGATTTTTAGTTGATGTTGGTAAGTCAGTAAAACTAGGAATAAAAGTGAAAATCCTCATTCTTTGTTTTATGAATCTGAAATAGATTGTCATCTAAGAGAAGTATCTTCTGTATTTTTTACCTTACTAGTTAGAAGTAGCATACAGAATGGTTTTACTAGCCATAATTAGTTTGTCTTGATTTATGTATAGCCAACCTTAAGTTAAAAAATTTTAGTCTGTGCACAGTATTTTAAAAATATTTGTAATTACTGCTCTCTATGTTTACATATATATATATAATGTATGTATGTGTGCGTATATATGTATGTAGGTGTGTGTGTGTGTGTGTGTGTGTGTGTGTGTGTATGGGATATCCAAACCATAAATACCTAGGCATCATGAAAAATGTCCTTTATAACACTAGTGGATATTATTTTTAAGCGATTTCATTATAAATTCTTTAATAGAAGTTAATGTATATTATTTTGTAAAATGCTGTTTTAATGATATGGAAGAATTTATATGTAAATAAATTTGCTAATGACTTCTATTTAAATTTAAGCTTAATGGTCACATGCCTGAAAAAAATCCAGATTTTTCTGGACCATATTTTTTTGGTCTTTTTCCTAAAAGAAACATATATCTGAATATAGAGTATTTCCTATATATATTATATGGGATACAAATATGTAAGAAACATTTTTATAAGGAGTAAACATAAAAAGAAGCATTGCACAGCAGTTAAGCATTTGAACTCGGAATTCAGATCATCAATATTACCTCCAACAAACTGGGTGACCTGGAACAACTTACTGAACCTTTCTTAAGGTTCTGTCTATCTTTGATTACCTCACTAAGAAAACAGAAATACCTTAGGGAGTTGTGAAGATTAACCAAGATAATAATATAAAATGTTTAGCATGTTATTTAGCAGTAAATTTTATTGGTAAAAATTCTCTGGTAGTTTCTGTGTTCAATAAATATTCATCTTTAATTAAGGTGATTAAATCAGTTACTTTATTAAATATATTAAGTATACTTCTAATTTTACATTATAGATAATTTATCCCCTAACTGATTTTATTGTTTGTTTTAGGTTACTTTTCACATAGAACCATATAGCAATCGAGATGATCAAAACATGTACAAAAATGTCAAGTATATTATAGACAAGTGAGTTTCTTCAATATTTATAAATATTGTTATATTATCCAGTGATAATTATTGTTTTAAGAATAGTACATTAAATTATATTTGAGATTTGAATGATTTATGATTATTCCATTTTTAATAAAATTAAATTGTTATTGTAATGAATGTCACCATCATTTCGAAGAACATTGCTGAAGTTTCTTATAATTCACTTTCTTTTTGGAAGATTGCTGTTTTTACTGTTTTACAGGTTTATAGGCTATTTATGATTTCTGTAGTTTTGATATTTTAAAATGACATTATTTTCTAAACCTTCAGAATATAGCTTTATCTTTTTAAAAAGAAGGTTCAGATTATTAAAAGTGAACTACTTCTTTTAACACAGTAGACCCAGAGCTGATATTTTCATTTATATCTAGCCTGATCAAAAAGAATTTATTAATACAGTTTTCATTTTTTGAAAGAATTTTACTGATAATAGTCTGTGACAGATGCCATAGTCTTACAAAGAAACTTGTCAGCAACAGTAGAACATTTATCACTGATAGATAAAAAAGCAGTTTAGGTATTATGTAGAGTATTATTTATAATGTAGAGACATAGGCTTTTTATGGCATTAGTCATCATTTGTAAACCTCAATATGAGATGGTTAATACTTGTTTGGTAATGCATCCAGTATCTCATTTTCTAATGTGTAAAATTAAAAATGCATTTTTAATTATTACACTTACACAACTGATTCCCCTAAGAAATGGAGCAGTGTGCTCAAACTGCACTGACTCCTTCATTTTCAGTAAACAGTTTTTGTCTGTGGCAAATTAGTTGTGAATATTCATTTCACTTTTATATATGCTTATTTTCTAGATATGGAAATCATCCGGCCTTTTACAGGTACAAGACGAAGACTGGCAATGCTCTTCCTATGTTTTATGTCTATGATTCCTATATTACCAAGCCTGAAAAATGGGCCAATCTGTTAACCACCTCAGGGTCTCGGAGTATTCGCAATTCTCCTTATGATGGACTGTTTATTGCCCTTCTGGTAGAAGAAAAACATAAGTATGATATTCTTCAAAGTGGTTTTGATGGAATTTACACATATTTTGCCACAAATGGCTTTACTTATGGCTCATCACATCAGAATTGGGCTAGCCTAAAATTATTTTGTGATAAATACAACTTAATATTTATCCCAAGTGTGGGCCCAGGATACATAGATACCAGCATCCGTCCATGGAACACGCAAAACACTCGGAACCGAATCAATGGGAAGTATTATGAAATTGGTCTGAGTGCCGCACTTCAGACACGCCCCAGCTTAATTTCTATCACCTCTTTTAATGAGTGGCATGAAGGAACTCAGATTGAAAAAGCTGTTCCCAAAAGAACCAGTAATACAGTGTACCTAGATTACCGTCCTCATAAACCAGGTCTTTACCTAGAACTGACTCGCAAGTGGTCTGAAAAATACAGTAAGGAAAGAGCAACTTATGCATTAGATCGCCAGCTGCCTGTTTCTTAATGCATTGATTAAAGTTTAATAGTTATCAAAATCACCTAATTTTTAAAAATAGCTTTCGTTTTGAGTTCTGGAAAGAAAACTGTCAAAATCAGTATATACTATTAGTTATATTTAAAAATATTTTTTTAAATTCTTTACAGATAATATTATACTTGTTACCCTTCACAATACCACATGAGAAAATATCTGAGACAAAATGTATACAAATATATTCCTTATGGCATAATTTATTGCATTTCTGACTGAAATCAAAATTCTGATTTGATGGCAATTGAATTTTCATTTTACAATAGATAAATGCTTGTGCTACCTAAAGCACTTAGCACACAGTTAAATTATATTTACATCCTAGACCCAAATAAATAGGATTGTGTGTATATTTGGGATATCTATTGAAGAAAAAAAGAAAACCCCTTAAAGATAATGTACATGCTTCATGTCATGTCTTTAAAATAATTTAATCAACTTTATTGTCTTAGTATTTAGACTCTGGATAACTCTACAATAATGAGGAAATTCTTAAGAATAACAAAATCACTGTACCTTCCTCTCAATTTTGCTGTGAACCTGAAATGGCTTTAAATTAATACTCTTATTTTTTATTTAATTTAATTACATAAATTAAACCTTACCATGACCAAATTGTGTTAGGACGGCCTGCTATCTACAGCACAGTGTGTCATTTGCAGATTTGTGGTTACCTATACCACGCTAGGTGTTTTGACATGTTTAGTGTTTCTGCTTTACAGTGCTGAATTCCATATTTTAGAAGCTATGAAAGTCCTTTTATGAAAAAGTTACTGATTGCTTCTCAGTTATTAGGAAAACAGTTGTTTCACAATTATTATGTAGATATGATGCCCAAATATCATTTTTAGTATATCTTGTCGATCTTTAAGTTGTTACTATTGTGTTATTCATGTCTTTAAATCAGATACCAAATATTTTTTAGGAAAGAAAAATGTTATTACTGTCATTAGGTTGTCTTTTAATACTTTAAGTTATTTTGACGAAAAGTAATAGAGAAAATTTACTTAGCATTTTAGATTCTAGAGACATGGAAATGAAAATTATTTTATGTCTAGAGTAGGTCCTGAAGTTTGGCTTTACATTAAGTTTAGCACTGTATCAGAATGAAGAAACTAATATTTTACATAAAAACTAATACTTTCAATTTTTTATATAGTAATATCCCCATTTTGTAAATGTTAGACTTTTATCATACCTGTAAGTTAAAATACTTGTTATCAATAACTTGTCATGTTGTGACAAATTGATCACTTGTGTACGAAAAATAAATCTCCTTAAAAACTAAATAAAATGCACTGTATTCTTACAGTTAATGTTTATAACTATAGTAAAAAATTAATATATATCCTATTACATAAATGTTATTTCTTAGGTGTTCCATTAAGAAGAGCAATAGAATAATGCTAAAAAATAATGCCTATAAATCTTCAGAGTATAAAGACATCCATTCAGAAACAAAAATTAGCACTAAATTTTTTATAAAATAGACCAGATGACAAAATTTATTTTATTTTTAAACAGTGGTTTTGACACAAATTATGTTATTGAAAAGCATTATTAATGTTTAATTTATTTAAAATTTTGGAATTTGCCATTTCTCAGAGAATGATCAGGCCTTAGGAAATTAATACAGTAGTAGTAATCATTTTCTAGGGGAAAATAAAAGAATAAATCACTATACTGATATTTTGATACAAGCAAGCACTTACATGGTAATCACTATATAGATCCAACCTGTGGATTTTCTTCTTATGTCCATTTAACTAGAATATATTATTTTAGGTATAATTTACAAATGTCACACCTAATAATCTTTTATAATATACCATATTTCATTAAAGTTTTGTTAGAGAAGTATCTACCACAGAGGAGTTTTTGTCATTGTGTACGTTGTGTATTTGAACCCACCATGACAGAAAGTAAATTTTAGGAAATAGTTATGAGATTAAGGGAAAATCTATAAAAACAAGGTTAGCATATTCTCAACACAGATACCACCACTTTCTTTTTCCCATTATAGACATGGTGAATCCACACAGCATACTTCATCTCTGAGCTTTGTTGTGATTCCTCAACACATTACCCTAACCAGCCAGCAGTAACAGATTTCAGAGTAAGATAAAGCAGATTCTGTCTTCATTGCAAAAAGTTATTCTCAATGGAAGAATGGCATCTGATCTCATAATTACTAGTTTATATTAATATAGTTTTTTTCTCCCTTTTTAATAAAATAATTACAGTCATCCCTCAGTGTCTGTGGGGGATTGGTTCCAGTTACCCCTATAGATACCAAAATCTGCAGATGCTCAAGTCCCTGATATAAACTGGCATAGTAGTTGCATATAATCTATGCACATCCTCCTGTATACATTAAGTCATCTCTAGATTATTTATAACACTTAATACAATGTAAATGCTATGTAGTTGTTATACCATACTGGTTAGTGAATAATTACATGAAAAAAAAGAGTCTGTACATCTTCAGAGTTTCAGTCGGCAATTTCTTGGCCATGGATGTAGAACCTACAGATAAGGTGAGCCAACTGCATTAGGAAATAACTCTAATAATTCTGTTAATTCTTAGAGAGGAAAACTTTCAAAATCTTCCTCAGGTATTTATTACAACTGCCTTTACCATTTTAGTTGTAACACAGTTTAAATTGTTATGATAACAAGTAAATAAGAGCAAAGAATGTATTTCTTAATTCAAAACTATACGTTTGAATTCAATATGGTATAACTTAAAGTGGTATAATACATACAATGCATGAATCATAATGGATTCTTTTATAAGTTATTAATTTTTATGGTTTAATCAGTCTAATTGTTTTGACTGTTATAGAAACCAAATATTTTACTGTTTCTTTTAAGGACTAATATTGTCAAAAACTGCTGTTATTAACTTCACTTGAGTTGTTTAACTTCCTTCTGTTTTAAGATTGTAATTAAAAATTACTATTTTGTTATATGGAATGGTTAATTTTTACCTAATAAAAACATAGATGAAATACATTGTATTTTAGATATTAAAGTCTATCATTTCTCTTTATGAAATGTCTTATTTGATTTCCGATTAACAAATGAAAAGGAGTATCCAGTCATCATTCTTTATGTTTTCTCTTTTGAGATATGCAGCACTTACAAAGTGGATATCTTTAACTGCACATACTTTTTAAATCTATAAACTTGTGTTAGGTTAATATACACACATACATGCACACAAAGTTTTTATTTTTTTTCATTTGAGAGCTGTTTTTCTATTTTTTTTTCTTCTTTGGGTATAATCATATATTAGCTCCAACATCCGTTAGGAAATTAATCTTCTAAAACAGCAAAGTAACAAAGCAGTAGAGAACTTACCAAGTTCATGCACTTTTTCAAACTGACCACAGTTAGCCCGTTTAAACATGACTCTACAGTGCTTACAGAAACAGTCTTTAAAAATCTACATTTAAAATTTGAATTACACTGTCACATACCATAGTGAAGAAAAGCAATAATTTACAACCAGCAAGATTTCAGTTATTTTTGAAATATTTATAATTTCTAAATGAAAACTTGATGTAGCCACAAGCAAAAAGGCTTTATGGCTCAAAGCATTACTTTTTAAATATTAAAATATTAATAAAATTTAAAAATTATACTAACATTTTTAGTCTTTAAAAAAATGTACTCCAAATTAAATTTTATACTATGTTGTTGTATATTCACATAAAGGCTAAATATTATTGTGGGTTTGTTGCCAGATTATTATCCTTGAGAATTTAGGTACTATTTTGGCTTAATTACCTTATAGAGACTCATTCATGCTTAGTCAAATCAAAGAACTGAGTAGTAGCGCTGTTATATTCCAACTATCAATGAAGGGAGGAACATTTTTTCAAAGTGATTAGCTTTTTTAGTTGTTGTTATGTCATTACTACTTACGGTATCAGACAAAGTAAGGGCTAATGAGCAAAAATAGTCACACATCTACAATTTATTGAAATCAAAACATAATGGCACTTTTATATTGGATATTCTATATTTCATTTAAAAGATACTGAATTTCAGGTTTCTCAGGTTACATTAAATTACCCATAAATTTTACCATAAAGTCAAAAAATCTTTAGAAGCTAAACCCCATATAAATATTTTATGATAGAAGAGAATGATGCCCTCTAGTACGATAAAACTGCTTACAATTCAACTTATGGTATATGACTGTATTATGCTTTTGTGTTTTTGTTTTTAAAAATAATAGGTTAAAAATCTGAGCAAAGATCACTATCAGCAACACAATAAGCATTATGAGCTACTCAATTATATTTAGAATAAATGATTACAATTATGTTATTGTATAAAAGTGCTTTTGAGTTTTACCAAAAGCCATTATCAAAACACTGTAGTTGTGTTAATTTGATAATAGAGTCTAATATAATACAAATTTTGCCCTGAAATTGCCTTGAAAATATCAAATACAAAAAAAAAAGAAAAATCTATTTGGAAGAAATTCAGCCGAAATGCATGTAGTAAACTTTAGAAATTTTTATGTTTGAACACAGTCACGTAAAAGAGTAGCATGCCACAATTTTTAAAAAAGATATTAGATAGGATTTAGTTTTTCCGCTCTGTTAAAATACTATGCATCTCTTCGGGGTTAGAAAACAAATTAATAGAAACCCTTAATCTTGTAAAACTGAAACATTAAGAAAACACCAATTATAGATAGATGATAGATGGATGGATAGATAGACAGATAGATGGATAGAATTGTGTTAACTACTCAAGCCTACCATTGGCAAGTAAAAACATCCCTTCATTAAATATTGTTTGTGGTTACATAAAGAAGTGTTTCCAGAGAAAAGCCTCTTGAAATATTCTTTTTCTTGAAAAATTAATTGTTTTTTAAGGTCAGAAACCAAATGGGAACAAGAATTGGCAGTATGCTGCATTTATTTTTATATACGTGAAAACAATATAAAGGATAACAAATGCTATTTCAGTTATTTCTATCTTGAGAGATACAGAAAATAAGAAAAATTTCATTAACCGGAGAAAAGAACCATTAAATGTTGAAACAGAAACTAAACAAATAACATATATCATTAAAAAGTAGTTAATATTAAGAATGTATCTGCCATAACCAAAAAATATAAGGGAACATTCCTCATGAGGCTGGTATAGCATAACGCCAAAATAAAATCATAGGACCATGTCATTTATTCACATAGATAGCAAAATTCTAATACGAGCAAATCAAATACCACAGTGTAAAGAAAAGCTGCCATGATCAAGTTGAAGTTAGTCTAGATTGAAAGAAGTGCTTTAACATGAGAAAAGCAATGAATTACATTAACAACAGACTAAAGGTAAAGTGTTGTGGTGAAGAATTGATAAAATTCAATATTTGTACATGTTTACTCTTGGCAAATTAGAAACAGGAACATTTTTAATCTGAAAAAGGATATCTACCAAAAACCCTACAGCAAGTATCATAATTAGCAGTAAAACTTGCCATTTTTCTCTTTGAGATAGGGAACCAAGCAAGGCTGCCCATTTTCATGAATGCTACCCAACATTGTAGTGGAGTCCTAGCCACTGCAGTAAAGCAGGAATGATTTAGTGAATGAAATACTTTTTACGTATAAAATTCGAAATAATCTACAAATAAATTAGAGTATTTAGCAAGTGTTATGTACAGTCCTATAGAAAAATCAGTTATAAAATCTCACAAAGTTCCCTTATGAAATTTAAAATCAAAAGGAAGTTTAGATTAAAGCTATTTTTTTGCATATACTAAATTTATTGAATGCTGCTTTTCTATATATCATTTTTAATTACCCAGTCTTAAATATTAGCCACATGGCAGAATATTCAGTCATTAATATTAAAATGGAACAGTCTAATCTCTGATTTTATGTAAAAAATTAACTGCAATTATGAATGTTTGCTAAATTCTTACTTGAAAATCTGCTTTGCTGTAATATTTAGGTAAAGTACATTATTGAAAATTGCTCTTATTAGGTATCTTATAAATATCTTAAAAATATTTAGCGGTAATCACTATATGAACAGTAACTGAGCTCAAATTCTCCTATTTTTCCACCTATTAGTATTATGTGTTGGTAGCTAAAGACTTAAATTAATCCCCAGATGAAATATTCTGGTAATGCAACACTATTTTCTCATTTTTTTCCTTGATTCATTCTTAATTAGCGTTTACATAAAGGTTCCTGTTATTAGAATACAGTCACTGTCTTTGCAAAAAGGATTTGAAGTATTTTTCTACAAAGGTAAATATTACAAAATTAATATATAAATAATGATGGATGGAATTTTTTAAAAGAATTCCTATATATAGTGCTGGTGGTATGTATGGTTGAGTACACGTTTGTAATTGAGCTTCCTGGTAGTCAGTCCAAGAGGCTATATGGCTCTTTCTGCCAGAAAAAAAGCACTTCCTTTCCCATTGGAGGCAAACTTTACCTTGTCAATACATTTTAACATAAATTTCTCAAGTAGAAATTACACCTAGGGTCAAAAATGCAAATGGTTATGGGAACCTGTCAGGGAATGTAAGTGAATTCATCAGGTTTAAAACCTTAGAGAGTCCCAGGGACTGTGGACAATTCTCACCTAAAAGGAGTGCTTGGCCGGGCTCGGTGGCTCAAGCCTGTAATCCCAGCACTCTGGGGGCCGAGGCGGGTGGATCATGAGGTCAGGAGTTCAAGATCAGCCTGGCCAAGATGGTGAAACCCCACCTCTACTAAAAATACAAAAATTAGCTGGGCATGGTGGCAGAAGGAGTTCTCAACAGTTCCTGTCATCATTGCCCCTTTGTTGCTATGGGTCCCTAAAATGAGGAAGTATATCTTGCTGTGTGTATCTGTTAATTTTTCTGATTATGATATGGTCAAATATTATAAAATATTTTAAAAATGTTCTCGGTTGGATCCGGCTAATGGATCACTAATGAGTCACTAATTTGTGACCTGTGATACAAAGAATATAAAACTATGTAATTTATGAAAAATAGCCTCAACATTTTGTAACATTGAGAAGGGAATTTCATATGACGAGTCATTGTGTGGTGACTTGAATAAATTCTAAGCATATAACAATAAAAAAAAAGTCA
The DNA here is from genome assembly GCF_000001405.40 of Homo sapiens. Taxonomy (NCBI): domain Eukaryota; kingdom Metazoa; phylum Chordata; class Mammalia; order Primates; family Hominidae; genus Homo; species Homo sapiens. The sequence goes on from NC_000006.12 coordinate 95,613,553, forward strand.
GTGAAAGTGAATCCATGAGGGGCTCTGTTTTTGGGATAGTTTCCTTCAGCTGTTATCTGATGCAAAATCATAGATTAAAGCATCTAAAGAAGTGAGCTAGATGAATATCTCTTAGCTAATCTCTATTATTCCTTCTAATTTGGCTTTTGCCTGCCTGCCCACCATTGGACCTTTCTTTCTCATTCCCACCTTACCTGCCTTTCTTTCTTATCTGCTTTGTTTCAGAAAGGATGTGATTTATTAGAGTGAATAGCATATGACAATATAGTTTCAGTCAAAAGTAGAGCAAGAATAGGAACATACCTATTGAGTCCACATTGAGCCCAGTATGAAATGAAAACAATATTATAACATACATTGCTATGCTGGTGGTCACAAATTTAAGACTTTGAATAGCCAATGTGAAAAAGGATATCTAGTCATCTACATGGTATACAATGTTCATAGTATAAGAAACAAATTTCTCAAGAAAAGTATAATTGCCTTGGTATTAAAGGAGAATTCTTCTGAGGGTTCTCATAAAGAAGATACGGTAATATAATGTACATTATCTTGATCAGTACATTCCCTAAAATAAGACAAAGACAAATTTCATAAGTCTTTCCTATAAATATCTTTATAGTATGTGATTACGATATCACACCAAAGCACAGTTCACTAAAAGTAATTATTTTGGAAGAGGAGTGTGTGTGTATGTGTGTGTGTGTAAGACACCCACGTACCTTCAAGCATTTTTTCTGAGTATTCATTAATGAAATATTTCTTGAATTTCTGCCAGAGAATGTAGTAGTTAAGGGAGTATATGCATGAATAAGACACTAGTTTTCTGCTTTCATGGTGTTGACAGTTTTTAACCGTTAAAGCACTTCATTTTTGGTCACATAGATTTTTATTTATTGATTCCTTAAGTCTAATTAGTTATGCCTTTCTCATAAATCAAAAAATAAACAAAAATGTTTGCTAATGACTGATCTGCCCTGTTTCCATATCTTTAAAATGAAGTCATTGCACTGGATGCCTGCTGAGATTGCTATTTAATATTAACAACATTTTTATGTTAAACATATCAATGTCATGAAAACTGGAAAAAAAGTGCATTTCTCTAAAACAGCTATAAAGCTGTTTTGGGGAAAAAGTAAATTCTATAAAATTATAAACCTTAAATTCACATTGTTATCCACTCTGGATTTTGTTACTTTATTTGCCTTTCAAGTAACATTTCACTCACTTTCAAAAACTAATTGGTGGTTTCTTTTAAAATTAAGTATATCTTTACCATGACCAACAATTTTACTCCCACTAGAGTAAAATTTCTTCTCTTCCCTCCTCCTTCTCTTTTCCCTGTATCAATTGATACATTCTCATTCATGTCACATAACCAGAAACCTAGGGTCATTCTTTGCCTTATCACACTTTGTCATGCCCAAAATTCCATATAGCACTAAATATGACTTCTTTTTTCTCAAAAATATTTCTCAAATGTTTACCCTACTCTCCATCTGTGCTATCTCTGACCAAGTCCAGGACATAATCGTTGTCCACTTGGCCTATTATATCGTAACTAATTTGTTTATATCTATGGTATTGCTTAATTTAAATTAATATCCAGAATAAGAGTCTATGTAATTCTCTTGCTTCAAATCTTTCAATGATTTCACATTGCCTGCAGAATGAAGCACAAACTTCTTCAAAAGGTATATAAAATGTCCCATTACTATTCTATGCCCACAACTGCAGTCTCATCTCCTGGTTTCTATTACATCAATATTTTACGTGAGCTCGATAACCAACACAACTTGTTATTTCATAACCTCGTGAAGATCACTTTTGTGTGTGTGATGTCTTTTCCATTGTTCCTCACTAGTTTACTTCTACTGGAAACAGGGCAAGAATGGCAGAGAAGGCAAAGGAGGAAAAGAAATAAACATTTCTAATAAGTATCTAATGTGTGTCAAACACTGTATTAGGTGTCGTACATGTTATTTAATGTAATATTAATTCAACATTCTAAGTTTTGTTTGTCTTATGGTTAAGGAAACTATATGCTGTAACTTGCCAATGTCTCACATCTGAAAAGAGATGAATCTGAACAACTGTCCTTCTACTATAAGGTCAATTCATCCAGAAATATTTCCCTACACCCAACCCTTCTCCTACTCTCACAGACATTAGGCACTTAGAGTACACCTCTATTCCAGCATTTACTATATTCTATTGAGATAAGCTTCATACCAGAATATCTTTGTCTCTATTACAAGCAGCCTGAGGGTCAGGCATATCTTTGGTTTCATTTAAGAATATAAAATGTCATAGATAGAAAACAGAAAACAGTGCTGTGGTTTGAATATATGCCCCAATACTCATGTGTTGGAAACTTAATCCCTAAAACAAAAGTGTTAAGAAGTGAAAACGTTCAGAGGTGAATAGGTCGGGAGGGCTCTGCTTTCATGAATCGATTAAAGCCATTATCATGGGAGTGGGTTTGTTATTACAAGAGTGCATTTATTATAAATGTCAGCTTGGCTTTTCTCTTTCTGTTACTTCCTTGCTCTGCTGTCTCTTGCCTTTCTGCCTTTGACTATGGATGAGGCAGCCTGAAGGCCCTCACCAGATGTGGTTCCTCAATCTTGGAAATCCCAACTTCCAGGGCCTTGAGACAAATAAACTTCTTTTCTTTATAAATTACTCAGTATATGGTATTCCCATCTTGGATCTCTGCTCCCTATATTTAAGTGCAATTTTCATCAGCTGCTCTAGCCATGGCTCAAGTGGTCCCAGGTGCAGCTCGACCTGCCACTCCAGAGGGTACAAGTCATAAACCATGGCAGATGTACAGAATGTAAGTGGTAGGGGCATGGCTTCCTCTACCTAGATTTCAAAGGATGTCTTGGACAGCCTGAGGGCCGAGGCAGAGACTTGTCACAGGAGCAGAACCAGACCATCATAGAAAGCCCCTACCACAGCACTGCTAAGCAGAAGCATGAGGTTTCTCTGTGCCACCACAGAGAGTGGCAATGCCACTCACACTAGTTTATTCCTACTGGGAAGAGGACAATAGTGAGAGAGAATGGCAGTGCTTAGTGGAGCCCTGGGAGTAGGGTCACACCTAAGACCCAAGAACTATAGTGATGCCGGCTTACAGAATCAGCCCAGGAGAGCTGCAGACAGGAGACTCCAACCTCCCTCTCTCTGCTGCCTTTATATTCCAGTGTTTGATAAAAGTAGGTGCAAATTTAGGGCATGTTGAATTGAAAAAAAATTCACATGAAGCTTTACATATACAAAAAATGTGCTATAAGAAGTTTCTGTTCATGAATATTTCTTATTAGTCATTATTCTATTTTCTACAGCAAGAAGATTGTACATGTGTTCCATGATTTGATGGTTATAGCCAAATAATACTATACTGGCATATATAATTTCCCTTAATCTTCTTTAAATAAAATATTAATAATAAAATTGTAGTTATACTTCAGGGTTTTTTAATAAATGAGCTATTTATACACAGTCAATTTCAGAAAGGTATAAGAACAATCAAAAACAATAAACAAAATAATAATTGCTTACATAAATAAGGCAATTGTGTTGATATAACAAATTAGTGGCAGAAATTCTGGAAGTAGCCCATTTAAACCAACTTTCAATCAGTCATTTACTTTAAGAGTATAATGTTTGAGATACTCATAGCTTCCAACCTATTTGCATAATCCCTGTGCTCTCTCCACTAAATGTTTTGCTAAAATTAAACCGCTATTAAAACAGAACATGCACTAGAAATTATTAAAGAGTAAATATTGACATGCTTTTCAGTCAGTATAACAATTTAGAAAACAGTATGTTGAATATTAACCTCATTTCTTCATTAATCATGATTCCTAATATACAAATAATTCTTTAAAAGGAGAGCAGAACCAATTCTTTTTGTTTATGACAAAGTCCTACAAACACTACTCAGAATATTTAGTAACTGACCTAAGTATGAAAATCGGGTTGGATAAGCAGTTATCCTAGGAAATCACATGGAGAAGCCCTGCAAATTTTGAAGATATTGTTTAGAGTCAAAAGATAGATAGACTCATATATTTCATTCATGTTCCTATTTCCTGAAACCGTCACTACTTTCTCCTCTATTTTCACTTAGAATTGATAATTTTGCTTCTTACTTAACTGAGAAAATACAAGCAATTGAAGATGACACCGAATGAGCCATCCTTTATATAATTCCCTTCTTTTGAGTGTGAGCTGAATCTGTAATTTACTTGTAACAGAGTATAGCAAAGATGGAGGCTTTTGAGGATGTAATCGAGAGCTTTAATCAGTTTAAGTTAATCAACAGGTAGATAATGCTGGGTGGGCTGACCTAATCAGGTGAGCCCTTTAAAACAGATCTAGAGGTTAGAGACAGAAGAAATTAGAGACGCTGTCCTGTTGGCCTTGAAGAAGTAAGCCACCATGAGTCTACAACTTCAAGGAAAGAAATTCTGCCAAAAAAAAAAAAAAAAACAAACCCAAAAAGAACCAAAAAAAAAAAAGTCGGCTTGGAAGAGTACCCTGAGCTTACATGAGTCCTCAGTGCTGGCTGACACCTTAATTGTAGCTATGTGAGACCCTGAGCAGAGGACCTAGTGAAGCCATTCCTGATATACTGCCTCATGGGAACCGACATAATAAAAACATTGTTTCAAGCTACTGAATTTCAATAATTTGTTACACGGCCTTATAAATTTAATATGCAATCAAAAGAAAATATCTATATGCTTCTACCACCAAAGTACCCTCTTGCACATGTGTGTTCTTTGCTCTGCCAACCCTTCTTTTCACTGTGAATAAACTGTCCTTTTCTTCATCAAAACCAATCCCTCTTTGGGGTCCTAAATCCTATTTCCTCATGTCTGCTAAAAGGCATCTCTATGACCATGGTCCTTTCTCACTCCTACCTTATTAATTTACCCCTTCTCTTCTCTGGTAAATAGTTCACAAATAGGATCTGTTTTTTTCCAAATTCAAAAACCATGCTTCCTCTGGTATTCTTTCAAAGAAAATAACCCCAGACTAGACATGTACAAAAAACATCTGACAAACCCAAACTGAGAGTCATTCTGCAAAATATTGACCAGTAGTACATAAAACATAGGATTATGAAACAAAGAAAAGATAGAGAAACTGTGATAGACCAGAGGAGATTAAGGAGATATGACAAGTAAATGAAATATAGTATCTGAAATTGGATCCTGGAACAGTAAAGGGACATTAGGAAAGAACTGCTGAAATCTGAAGAAAGTATGAGGTAACCGATGTTAGTTTCTTAGATTCAACAAATATACCATGGTCAACCCCACTTTCTTCAGATCTTGCTCAAATACCATCTTCCCAGCAAGGCCTTCTTTTACACTCTATTTTATTAAAGATCATACCCCTTACTTCTATTTAATAAACATACACAGTGTGCTTACTTTTCTACAATGAGGAAATAAAATGAACATAATTCTCCATTCCCAAGGAGTTCAGAGTTTTGAAGCAAAATAATAATTTTCTCAGAAGATATCTGGTTTTTGTTTTTTCATTGTTTGTTCTGCCAAGTGTTTTGTTGTTTTGTTTTGTTTTTTAACACTTTCTGATAAAAAATCTCACCTTTAAATTTGAGGAACCACCCTTCCCTACTCTTTGTGGTCTCAGTGGGGTCATTCATCCCTGGACCTTTAGGGTGCACATATGATATTAACTGGCAAATTGATCTACTCCCTTTCCTACAGTGACAGCTCCAGGGCGAGGCACATGAACCAAGCCCCACTGAGCTTTAATAACATAGGCTTGTAGCACTCAACAGATAGATTTTGTCCCACATGGAAAGCTTCTATGAACAAAACCAACAGAGAGGAAAGCAAAAGAAATAGGTGGGCAAAAAGACAACTTGATGACATATTTTGAATCCCCAGATTCTACCTTGGATCATGTCTGCCTTTAGCCTCTCTATTCCCTTAGCCAATAAACTTTTCTTTTTTGATGAAGCTAATTTAAGTTGATTTTATGTTATGGAACTCGAAGGGTTCTTACTAATAAAATCTTACATAGTGTTATAAGTCTTAAAATAGAGGTAGATATGGTGGACGCATAAGGAAGAGTCAATACTTTTTGAAATGCCAAAGAAATACTCACAGAGGAGTCACCCCTAAGTTTTAAAGTCTCAATAAGAACATATGAACAAGCACAGGAGCAACCTTATTAAATTATTGAGTTCCTACTGTGTGCCAGGCACTGTTTCAAGTATGTTACATACATCATGGATTAGATCTTATTATTCTCACCAGTTTACTAACTGAGGGAGAAAGCAGTTAAGTAAACTTGCCCAAATTTATATCTGAGAATTAAATTCTTATCCACTGAATTCCATAGGATGCTATTTTCAAGAAAACAAATTTTATAATATGTAATTTTTAAAACGTTTGCCATTTTGTTCTTATAACTCAGGAAAGTGGCACACAAAATCTTTATTATGAATTGGAATATCTTACAAGAGGAATGACTTGAGCTGTCTAAAACCATCTAACTTCGGTTTAATTAAGGTGAAGAATATACTGAAGAACAAAGGGGAAAACAGATACGTTGCATAGTTGATAAGAGAAAAATTACTATTATTTCATTGATCAGTTTTCTGCTACATGTGTGCTTCTACTCCCTGATTAGAGTAGTTATTGAGGAGCATGAACAATTGTATATAAATCCTTATGAGAATCAAGCATTTCCTCTAGTGTGGCTGATGTATTTAACCAGGTAATGCTGACAACACCTGCTTGGATGGGTTAGGGGGTATTTTTTGTAGGAGTGCAACTAGTGAATCAAAGAAGACATATTTTGAGAAACTTTAGGGTAATTTTTTTGTTGTTTATTTTTGAGTTTTTTTTTTTTTTTTTTTTTTTTTTTTTTTTTTTTTTTTTTTGAGACAGGTCCTCACTCTGTTGCCCAGGCTTTAGTGCAGCCTTGAACTCTGGGGTTCATGTGATCTTTCAGACTCAACCTCCCAAATAGCTGGGATTAGGCATGTGCCATCACACCTGGCTACTTTTTTTAAATGTCTTTTTTTGGAGATCGGGGTCTCACTATATTGCCTTAGCTATTCTCAAACTCCTGGGCTCAAGTGATCCTCCTGCCTCAGCCTCCCAAAGTGCTTGGATTACAGGCATGAGCCACCACATCCTGCCTTATTTTAACAAAATAATATGCTAAATTCCTTAAGGAAAAGTGACAAATATTTTTGAAGATGCATGAAGACTCCTATAAAACTTGTCAGTTTTGAGAGACCTTTAAGTTTCTTTTATTTGCTCACAAAATTTAGTAACATCTAATACCAGTTGATATGTGGTCTCAGTGGGGTCATTTTTCTATTTGCTCTAGCTTGTTTAACTTTTTGTCTTGTACATATTCCTCTTATAAAATAAGTCATTCATTCTATTCAAATACTAACTCATATGTCTTTGCTGTGTCCCCACCTAAATCTCATCTTGAACTGTAGCTCATATAGTCCCCATGTGTCATGGAAGGGACCTGGTAGGAGATACTTGAATCATGGGGGTGTGTTTTTCCTGGGCTGTTCTTGTAATAGTGAATAGGTCTCATTAGATCTGATTATAAAGGGCAGTTCCCCTGCACACACTGTCTTGCCTGCTGCCATGTAAGACATGCCTTTGCTTCTCCTTTGTTTTTCGCCATGATTGTGAGGCCTCCTCAGCCATGTGGAAGTGTGAGTCCATTAAACCTCTTTTTCTTTATAAATTACCTAGTCTTGGGTATTTCTTCATAGCAGTATGAAAATGGACTGATACAATAACTGATTAGCTGCAAATGTGATTAGAGTACCATGAATAGATCTCAGACATCTCTTTATCATTAATGAAACACCCCAAACTTTTCCTTTAATTAAAGTGTCTTTCATTAATTGACAACTGTTCTTTTATTGCTCAGCATTATGGCAGCATATGTTATTAAGGAAAAATGGAGAAAATATTGTTTTTCTTTAATGATGCCCTGCAACACTTTGGTCTTTTTTCAAAGTTTAACTTTCACAGGCACTAATCCAAGAATTTATAAGCTGAGATATTTCTTCGTTATTGTGCACGTATTTCCATGAACACTAGAGGAATGTGTTTTTATTCACCATTTAGAAGCATCATGCCATCTTAATTACTGTGCTCTAAGAAATAAAACATTTTAAGCTATGAATTGAAAAATCAATTTTATCTAACTAGCCTTGAGTAAGTTGACAATTTATTAGTGGTACTTCACTGAAACCTAAGCACTTTGGGAATAAGTTAAAAAACACTTCATTTTCCAATTTTAAAAATATAGAGTTCTTTCTCTTCTTCTTTCATTTTTCCCTTCTTTCTCTTTACTCCTTCATTACTTTCTGTCTTTTCCACCTATTTCCTACTTCTTCCCTTCCTCCCTCCCTTCTTTCTTTCCTAATTTTTTGTTTCTTTTTAAAAAAACAGTCTAGTGTTACAAATGACATTTCTTCAGACCAGATTTGTTATAGGAAGAAAAACTGAGATGAAATGCAGGATGTCATGCTTTTAAAATTTTTTTATTCAGTTTATAAATTGAAATAACAAATTAATTTTTACATTTTATAATGTGCCTTAACTTTATTGGTTTTGAAAGTAAACTGTAGTTTTATGGTCCATCACACTTTTTCATAAATTACAAACTCTGAATAAGATAATAGCTTGATATTACATCACTTCCTACATATATTTTGGGTTACAGCATGTTGATTACTGATTTATCATAGATGAAGATGAAATTCATGACTAATATTTTTGAGTTCCTACTAACTCTGCTTTAACTTTGTTATCTCTTTAGCCTTCAAAGCATCCTCTATGCCAAGGGAGTTATCCTCAGCTTCATTTTTATTTTCCTCACCTATAAAATGAAAATAATAGTAGCACTTACCTCATGGAGTGATGTGCTAATAGTTGAAATAAATGATGCATGGTAACCTGCCTAAAGTGGCTGAGCTAACAAGAGAAAAGACCAAGGCTTTTTAAACCTAAATCTGTCCAGTTCTAGAGCATGTGTGCTTAACTATAAACTATTGTGCTGTAGCGACATACGAAAGCTCACTGCTGCTGGAAAAATCACCCTCCCTAGCTCCTGCACTGCTCTCTATTAGATTGAGGAGAGGGAAACAGAGCTTGTCTTACTCTCACTATGACCATGGTGCCCATTCTCCAGTTACCCCAACCTATTTCCAAGAAGGATATACAATTAGAGTTAATCATCTATCTCTCTATAAGATACCATCAGGACCAATGCCATTGTGTCCTACAACCCTGTTTATCTTAGTCCTTGACAAGAAGTCCAAACCTGCATATCCTTCCTCAACTTATCTCCAAATGGCACTGAACAATCCTTTACCATTTTTCCCTGTAGCAAATGAGTCTAAAATGACCCCCAATTATCCTAACCTCCTGGTACTGAACTTTTTGTGTGTTTTTTTTTCCTCTCAAGAGTGGTTGTGTCCTTTGAATTACTTCTAATAACAAAACACAATACTGCAAAGGTGATGGCTTATCATATCTGTGATTATGATACATAAGATTGTAATGTCCATTTTTCTAGAAGACCCTCCTCCTTGTTGGTTTTGATGAAGCCTTACTGAGGAGGCCTACATGACAAAGAACTGAGGGTGACCAGTCAACAGCCAGCAGGAAACTAAGGCCCTCAATGTACCAGTCTACATGGATCCACATCATCCCAACAACCACATGAGCTTAGAAATGAATCCTTCCCCAGTCAAGCCTTGAGAAGACAGCTTTGGCTGAGATCTTTTTTTTAATTGAAAAATAATTTAATGATGAAATATCTCATATTAGTTAATATCTTGCTTGCCACAATGTTTCATATTATCATTGGCCTACATCTCAAAATACAACATATAGAGGACAAAGTTTATCATTAATAAAAGTAAATGTAAACCTATAACTCAATGGAAGGGAGGAGCTGAATTCTTGTAAGTCTGAATTAGATAGATCATCAGGGTTTTTTTCTTTATTTCTTTTAAAAGGAAAAATAACAGGATACATATATAGAACATGCAGGTTTGTTACATAGGTATACATGTGCCATGGTGGCTTGCTGCACTTACTGACCCGTCTTCTAAGTTCCGTCCCCTCACCCCTCTACCCCCAACAGGCCCTGGTGTGTGTCGTTCCCCTCTCTGTGTCCATGTGTTCTCAATGTTCAACTCCCACTTTTGAGTGAGAACATGTGGTGTTTGGTTTTCTGTTCCTGTGTTAGTTTGCTGAGGATGATGGCTTCCAGTTTCATCCGTATCCCTGAAAAGGACATGATCTCATTCCTTTTTTTTTTTTTTTTTTTTTTTTTTTTTTGTGACAGAGTCTTGCTCTGTCTCCCAGGCTGGCTGGAGGGCAGTAGTGGGATCTTTGCTCACTGCAAGCTCTGCCTCCCGGGTTCACGCCATTCTCCTGCCTCAGCCTCCCGAGTAGCTGGGACTACAGGTGCCAGCCACCACCTCCGGCTAATTTTGTGTATTTTTAGTAGAGATGGGGTTTCACCGTGTTAGCCAGGATGGTCTTGATCTCCTGATCTCATGATCTGCCCACCTCAGCCTCCCAAAGTGTTGGGATTACAGGATCTCATTCCTTTTTATGGCTGCATAGTCTTTCATGGCGTATATTACCACATTTTCTGTATCCAGTCTACCATTGATGGGCATTTGGGTTGGTTCCATGTCTTTGCCATTGTAAATAGTGCTTCAGTAAACATATGTGCACATGTGTCTTTATAGTAGAATGATTTCTATTCCTTTGGGTATATACCCAGTAATGGGATTGCTGGGTCAAAAGGTATTTCTGGTGGCTAAAATCTTGACTGCTGTCTTGAGGAGAATCAGATAAGCCATAACTGGGCTCCTGAACCACAGAGATTGGAAGATAAAAATGTAGGTTGTTTTAAGCTGCTGAGTTTATGATAATATTAATACTGAGCAATATGCAATTCATATACTCCTGAATCCCTGAAACTCTATCAATGCCCTCTGGAATTTACTCAGGAAATAGAGGTCATCAGAAAAGTATTTCTACAGCTTCTCATCAGCAAGTATTACAAAATCCTACATATATTTTTCTTTACTATTCAACCATTTCTCTCTTATAGTGTATGAACTTTCCATGTTCCTAAGACTGTAATTTGAATTGTATGTTTGATCCCATTATCTCACTGCTTCTTAAAGGCTTTGATTCCAGAATTATTTTTTCTCTCACCATCATCCTCACCATCACATTTTTTCCCTATGGTATATTTCCCATTCATGTAGAAGAATGTGTAATAGTGCCATCATAAAACAACAAAACCTTTTCTTGACCCCATGTCCTGCCAGATATAGCCATCTGCTCCTTTTTACAGCAAATTTCTCAGAATGATGGCTTTACTCTCTTACCTACTTCTCCTGCCAGTCTCTTTTGGATCCAGTTAATTTTATTTTCCTACCACTCCACTAAAAAGGCTCTTATTAACCTCCCTGATGACTTCCAAATTGACAAATTCCAAAGGTATCTGTAGTCTACATCTTATTGTAACTCACAGCCGGGACACAATTGATCCCTTCCTTCTCCTTGAAGCACTTTCTTCCCTTAGTTTTGGTGACATCACCCACACTCCTGGGCTCAAGTGATCCTCCTGCCTTGGCTTCCCAAAGTACTGGGATTATAGAAGTGAGTCTCCACCATACCTGGCCCCTCCTGCCTTTCTTAACCACTGAAGCTTGCAATGCTTCATAACTCTGCTCTTGCACATCTTCTCTTCCACATCCACATTCCTTTCCTAGATGGTCTTTTCTAATTACATGGGTTTAACAATCATAGATATGCATATAATATCCAAAACTGTATCTGTAGCCCTGAATTTTCTTCTGATCTCCAGGCTCATACATCTAATCTTCAGTTGGATTTTTAAGAGACAACTCAAATTTAACTTTGGAAATTGAACTCATAATTTTTCCCATCCCCTAAACATTTGGTTTCCCAAGAAGTGGCATTAGCATACTTTCTGTTCCTCATGCCAAAATCCTTGGAATCAATCTTGATTCCTCTTCTTATTTCACAGCTCATATCCATTCCTTTGTTCAGAATCTTCCGGTTCTACTTTTAGAATATGTTGTAAATACAAACCTTTCTGTTAGTAGCTGTGTAATCCTTTCTCAAATCTTAAGTTTCATCATGGTATTTCATTTCTCAAAACCATCCAATGACTTCCCTCAGCACTAGGAATAATATTCTAAGTATTTACAGTAGCTGATAAAGCCTCAATGAGTTTTTAACTCATAGTCAGTTTGTCACTTAATGCCTAGAAATGCCATTATGCTTCTGTCCTGACCATTTTTCCTTCATTCTCCCCTTCCTCACTCAACCGCACCCATACAGACCTCTTTGCTATCCTTAGAACATTTCTATGCAGGTGTGATCTTCAGGTTCCTGCTTCCTTTCTCCTTGCTTTTTCCCCTTCCCAGAATGATTGTCCCCCAAAATAATCACAAGGCTCTCTGCTCCCTTATTCCATTTAGGTCTCTGCTCAAAAGTTTTTCCCCATTCACAATGGACAATGTAAAGTAGCAGTCCAGTTTTTCTCTATTTCCTTCATTACTTCACTTTTCTTCGAGGGTCTTTTCCCCCAAAGACAATATTATATAGCTATGTTTTTAGAGCTTGCCACCTCTTGTGGAATGTTAGCTCTGTATCCTACTGGGTCCTTTGTTTACTCACTGATGTAATGCAATGCAGACGACTTCATGCAGGTGGGTGAAGCATGAGCATAGATGCAAATCATAAAAATGGAAATACCAAATTACCATCATTTGGTGAATTACAGAAAAGATAGGTTTCCTTTAAAATTTTTATAGCTTGATGAAGAATTTGCTGCTGTGCAATAGATCCATTACCTGAGTGTCGTGGTTTATTTATAGCTCTTTATGTGATTTCAATGATCTTATTACTTTGCTGATAGTTTTTTCTTTTTCTTTTTTTCTTCTGGAAGGTAGAAGGCTTTGTCTCCATTCTCCTTGTCCCGGGCCATCATGAGTCACTTAAAATAATCCCTCTTATAACTTAGCAAACTGTCAAAGCAGTATATAACAAGGTTGTTAAAAAATTCTCGTCAGTTTTCTGTACCTAGAAAACCCCATAGTCTCTGACCAAAATCAGTGTACAAAAATCAATAGCGTTTCTATAAACTAATAATATCCAAGCTGAGAACCAAATAAAAAATTCAGTCCCATTCACAATGGACACAGAAAGAATAGAATACCTAGGGATATGACTAACTAGGGATGTGAAAGATCTGTACAAACAGAATTACAAAACACTGCTGAATGAAATTGGAGATGACATAAACAAATGGAAAAACACTCCATCCTCATGGATGGGAAGGATCAGTACTGTTAAAAAGCAATTTACTCTATTTCTATCAAACTACCCAAAGACATTTTCCACAGAATTAGAAAAAAATTGTTCTAAAATGTACACAGAGCCAAAAAAGAGCCCCAAATAGCCAAAGCAAAGAAGAACAAAGCAGGAAAAAAATCACATTACACAACTTCAAACTATACTACAAGGCTATGGAAACTAAAACTTCATGGTACTCGTAAAAAAATAGACACAGGCCAATTGAACATGTTAGAGAATGTGAAAATAAAGCCACATAACTACAAACACCTGATCTTCAACAAAGTTAATCATATCAAGTAATGGAGAAAGGGCTCCCTATTCTGTAAATGGTGCTGGGGTAACTGGCTAGCTACATGAAGAAAATTAAAACTACACTGTTTCCTTTCACCATATACAAAAATCAACTCAAGATGGATTAAACACTTACATGAAAACCTAAAACTATAAAAACTTTGGAAGACAAGGTAGGAAATACCATTCTGGATATAGGACCGGACTCAAACAGCAATTGCAAGAAAAACAAAAAATTGACAATTGGTACTAACTAAAGAGCTCTGCCCAGCACACATAGTCACACACACACACACACAATCAACAGAGTAAATATACAACCTACAGAAGGGGAGAAAATATTTCCACACTATGCATCTGACAAAGGTCTAATATCCAGAATCTATAAAGAACATAAACAACTGAACATGCAAAAAAGAAAAAACATTAAAAATGGGCAAAAGACATTAATAGAGACTTTTCGAAAGAAGACATACATATGTCCATTAAACATATGAAAAGATGCTCAACATCACTAATCATTAGATAATTGCAATTCCACACCACAATGGGATACCATTTCAGTATCAGAAGGGCTATTGTTAAAAAGTCAAAAAGTAACAGCTGCTGGTGAGGTTGAAGAGAAAAGGGAACACTTATTCACTGCTACTGGGAATGTAAATTGATTCAGCCACTGTAGAAAACAGTCTGGAGATTTCTCAAAAAACTTAAAACAGAACTGTCATTTGACCCAGCAATCCCATTACTGAGTATACACCCCAAGGAATATAAATCATTCTACCACAAAGACATATGCATGTGTATGTGCATTCACGATAGCAAAGACATGAAATCAACCTAGATGCCCAACAGCAGTGGACTGGATAAAGAAAATATGGTTTATACATACCATGGAATACTATGCAGCTATAACAAAAATTAGATCATGTCCTTTGCAGCAACATGGATGGACTTGGAGGCCATTATCCTAAGCAAACTAATGTAGTAACAGAAAAACCAAATACCACATGTTCTCACTTGTAAGTGGGAGAAAAATATTGAGTTCACATGGAGACAAAGAAGTGAACAACACACACTGAGGTCTACTTGAGGGTGCAGGGTGGAAGGAGGGAAGGATGGAAAAAATACCTAAGGGGTACTATGTTCACTACTTAGGTAACAGAGTGATCTGTAAACTGAACCCCCACAACACAAAATCCACCCATGTAATAAACCTGCACATGTACCCTGTTAACCAAAAAGCTGGAAATTTAAAAAATAGTATTTACTGAGAAAAATTAAACTATAAAAAATATTGAGATTGGAAGGAAAAAGAAAAAAATTCTCATCATTTGATCCTTTTGTGTGCTAGGCCTTTCCCTGAGGTAAAATATTTCATTAGGAAATTTTGTAAGATTTGTTACCTAATCAGTAATCCTCTAATTCGCTGTGATCTTTTCCAGATGATAAAAAAAATTAAAACGATTTTTCAACACTTTTTAAAGAGCTTTTTTTTGTCCTACCTCCTTCTAACTTACTCTTTAAATGTGCCAATTTACCCAAGAATGTTTCTGAGTATATCACAAATGTTTTCCGTTTCATCAATTGTTTTTGTCATTATTTATATGTTACAAAAGAATCCTACTCACTTTTTCTGAGCCTTCGTTTAACATACGTCTCACATACCTGCTATCCTCATAGTAACTTTTTAACACACAGCCAATTTGTCACTTAGTGCCTAGAAATGGTGTTATGCTTCCACAAAGATGAGTCTATGCCATTCTTTCACAACTCCACAGTGAATAATATAAATACAAAACTGTCCTTTGCAGTGCTTTTACGTTTAAATGGCTTTCTTGAGTTCCCTCTGAATATGAGAGTCTCTTATTAAAAACATTTCAATTTTTTTTTTGAGTCAAAGTCTCGCCCTGTCGCCCACGCTGGAGGGCTGTGGCACCATCTTGGTTCCCTGCAACCTCCGCCTCCCGGGTTTAAGTGATTCTCCTGTCTCAGCCTCTGAAGTAGCTGGAACTACAGGTGCGTGCCACTGCGCCCAGCTAATTTTTTGTATTTTTAGTAGAGATGGGGTTTCATCATGTTAGCCAGACTGGTTGTGAACTCCTGACCTCAGGTGATCCACCCCCATGAGCCTCCCAAAGTGCTGGGATTACAGGCGTGAGCCACTGCACCCGGCCACATTTCACTTTCAATATGCCTAGACCTCTGATAAAATCAAACTTGCACACACTATTTGTAAACTATTTACGTAAAACAAAAACACATAACTTTAGAACTAGGCTTTAAACTTGCAGAAAACAATCATTCAATGGCTTCAAATTAGCATTTTTCCCATTACCCATTTCTCTTCCCCCATTTAGAAAGTGTAGTTCTGTGCTTCGTGCATTTGAGATTGAAATCTGGCACTAAGACTTGTTCTTATAACGGCAAATAGTTTCCATGGAAACACAGCATGGCTTCTCAAATGTCAGCTTCTCAAACTCTCACTTGCAGTTGATGTAGGATCCTTCACTGAAGTGTGACCATCTCTTCCACCTCTGTGAAGTAGGTAGGGAATGCTGGAACAGGAAGAACCATCAAGGCCAAACTATAGAGTTAAATAGAATGTCCACATCTAAAAATATGAGGAAAACCCATCAATTAAAAATTGGTGTTTTAAGAAGGAATAATTGGCCTCCTGCATACTAATCAAAAATCAGTGCAAGGAAAAAAACACAGGAAGCATATTGAGTTCCTTTTTCAGAGAATATATTAAAATAGCTGTCCCCTGCATCTTCCATTGCTCTCAAATCTATTTACATAGCAAAGCCTCTATGCTCCTCCCAGAGTTTAGGAGGCCTGGCCAAGCACTGGGGTCAAAATGTGTAAAATGGGCATTGACAGAGTAGACAGGGATGTGGGCATTTTGCCCAGTGGACCTCACACTCTGAGCAGGACCCCTGTATTGCAGGAAGGTTGGCAAGTGTTAAGCTGAGCCTGGGGCCTCACTCTTCCTGGACAATACCATTGGAAAGAAACTCAAACACAGGGCTGTTTCGAGTAAAGAAAAGGGGGATGATTGGTTTGACATTCTGTACATCTGGATTTATTTTCATGAGCACAGCTAAATGCTTCCTGCTGGGGCATCAGACCATGAAGTGAGTCTTTGCCTGATATGGTTTGGCTGTGTCCCCACCCAAATCTCATCTTGAATTGTAACTCCCACAAGGCCCATGTGTCATGGGGGGGACCCAGTGGGAAGTGATTATTATGGGGGCAGGTCCTTCCTGTGCTGTTCTCATGATAGTGAATGAGTTCATGAGATCTGATGGTTTTAAAAATGGGAGTTTCCCCGTACAAGATCTTTTTGCTTACTGCCACCCATGTAAGACATGATTTGCTCCTCATTGCCTTCTGTCAAGATTGTGATGCCTCCCCAGCCATGTGGAACTATAAGTCCATTATGTCTTTCTTTTGTAAATTGCCCAGTCTCAGATATGCTTTTATCAGCAGTGTGAAAATGGACTAATATAATAAATTCGTACAGTAGAGTGGGACTCTGCTGTAGATACCCAAAACTGTGGAAGTAACTTTGGAACTGGGAAACAGGCAAGGGTTGGAACAGTTTGGAGGGATCAGAAGACAGGAAAATGTGGGAAAATTTGAAACTTCATAGAAACTTGTTGAATGGCATTGCCCAAAATTCTGACAGTGATATGGACAATAAAGTCCAGGCTGAAGTGTTTTCAGATGGAAATGAGCAACTTGTTGGGAACTGGAGCAAAGGTGACTCTTGTTATGTTTTATCAAAGAGACTGGCAGCATTTAGCCTCTGCCCTAGAGATTTGTGGAACTTTGGACTTGAGAGAGACAACTTAGGGTATCTACTGGAAGAAATTTTTAAGCGACAAAGCATTCAAGATGTGACATGGGTGCTGTTAAAGACATTCTGTTTTAAAGGAGAAATGGCATAAAAGTTCAGAAAATTTGTAGCCTGACAAATCAGTAGTTAC
Organism: Homo sapiens; assembly: GCF_000001405.40. Taxonomy (NCBI): domain Eukaryota; kingdom Metazoa; phylum Chordata; class Mammalia; order Primates; family Hominidae; genus Homo; species Homo sapiens. The sequence goes on from NC_000006.12 coordinate 95,631,290, forward strand.
AAATTTCTCCTCAGAAAATCCCATTTTCTGAGGAGAAATTCAAGCCAGCTGCAACAACTTGCATAAGTAATGAGGAGCCGAATGTTAATCCCCAAGACAACAGGGAAAATGTCTCCAGGACATGTCAGAGGTTTTCATGGCAGTCCCTCCCAACACAGGCCTGGAGGCCTAGAAGAAAAATACGGTTTCATGTGCGGGGCCCAGGGTCCCTGTGCTGTGTGCAGTCAGGGGATTTGGTGCCCTGCAGCCAAGCTGTTCCAGCTGTGAGTAAAAGGGGCCAAGGTACAGCTTAGGCTGTGAGGATGCAAGCCCCAAGCCTTGGCAGCTTCCATGTGGTGTTGAGCCTGAAGGTGCACAGAAGTCAAGAACTGAGGTTTGGGAACCTCCACCTAGATTTCAGAAGATGTATGGAAATGCCTGGATGTTCAGGCAGAAGTTTGCTGCACGGGCAGGGATCTCATGGATAACTTCTGCCAGGGCAGTGCAGAAGAGAAATGTGGGGTCAGAGCCCCCACACAGAGTCCCTACTGGGCTGCTGCCTAGTGGAACTGTGAGAAGAGGGCCACTGTCTATCTTCCAGACCTCAGGATGGTAGATCTACCTATAGCTTGCACTGTGCACCTGGAAAAGCCACATACACTCAACACCAGCCCGTGAAAGCAGCTGAGAGGGAGGTGGCACCCTGCAAAGACACAAGAATGGAGCTGCCCAAGACCATAGGAACCCACCTCTTGCATCAGTGTGACCTGGATGTGAGATATGGAGTGAAAGGAGATCATTTTGGAGCTTTAAGATTAGACTGCCCCACTGGATTTCAGACTTGCATGGGCCATGTAGCCACTTTTGTTTTGGCCAATTTCTCCCATTTGGAATGGCTATATTTACCCAATACCTGTACTCCCATTATATCTAGGAAGTAACTAACTTGCTCTTAATTTTACAGGCTCATAAGCACAAGGGTCTTGCCTTGTCTCAGATGAGACCTTGGACTGTGGACTTTTGAGTTAATGCTGAATTGAGTTAAGACTTTAGGGGAACTGTTGGGAAGGCTTAATTGGTTTTGAAATGTGATGACATGAGGTTTGGGAGGGGCCAGGGCAGAATGATATGTTTTGGCTGTGTCCCCACCCAAATCTCATCTTGACTTGTAACTCCCATAATTCCCATGTGTCATGGGAGGAACCTGGTGGGAGGTGATTAAATTATGGGGGAGGATCTGTCCTGTACTGTTCTTGTGATAGTGAATAAGTCTCACAAGATCTGTCAGTTTTGAATACAGGAGTTTTCCTGCACAAGCTCTCTTTTTGCCTGCTGCCATCCATGTAAGATGTGACTTGCTCCTCCTTGCCTACCACCATGATTGTGAGGCCTCCCCAGCCATGTGGAACTGTAAATCCATTAAACCTCTTTCTTTTGTAAATTGCCCATTCTTGGTTATGTCTTTATCAGCAATGTGAAAACAAACTGATACACTCCCCCATTTCTTCTTGCCATCGAGTTACTGTACTGTTTTCTCAGATGGATCTGCTACAGTCCTTGCTGACTTCACACCTTCAATATGTCTGCTTCCCTCATCACAATGTTATGTGAATGACAAGGAGTAAATCAGTGGCTCCACCAATACAGGTGTATGCTAGCCTGTAGGATCCCCCCTGCAGATCTTTCACAGGATTTAGATAGATATAAGAAAGTCATTTGGGGCTTTCCTCTCTATCAATTCCAAAACAGGCAAAGAAGAAAAATATTAGCATATTCATGTCACTGCAGCCAGAATTCTGGTAGTAAAATTAAGCAGAAAATTGAGGCCATGAATTCAAATAACCATAAGCAAAATAGGCTTTTGATTAAAGTACATTGTAAAATCTTGTTTGAGGAGTTTCTGTGAACATTCCTTAAGCCTGAAATTTACCTTCTTTATTTTGATTGTTGATTTCTTCATGTTAAAGAAAGACTTAAAATAACTATGAGGACTGGTCAATAACTTTAAAAGTTTTGTTTTATTTTCCCCCATTCTGGGACTCTCATTGATCAAACTTTGGCCTAAGATACTACATTAGTTGGCTAGAGAATAGCCCTAGTCTTTCTCCTCCTTCCCTTTTTCTTTCTCCTTCTCTTCCTTTTCTTTCTTTGTTTCCTCCTCTTCTTCATCATTTGCATTCCTCCACCCTACGTTTCCCCCTCATCTTTCCAAATCTTTTTGGTAACTGTCACCTTGTTTTTTTTAAACTTAGTTTTATTTTTAAGTTTGCGTATGATTTAAAGAATTAAATAGTTCTATGAATTATTTTATGAAAAAACTGTATTCCCTTCCTACCCAGTTTCCTTTACACTATAAACAACCACTCTTAAATCTTTAAGTTGATTCTCTTTGAATTTACTTTTATATCTCTAAGTAGCATGTTAATATTGACACTTGTTAATTTTATCAGTTTTAGGCATTATTAGTTTACTCTTATTATGGACCATTGTTTAGCGTTCACTCTCCACGTTTTCATCCACTCCTGCATGCTTCCTGTTTATTGAAATTTTGAGTGAACTTCTGCAGCATTTTGTAAAAAATTGCTCGGCTTTTGGTTTCCAGTGTTACTTTTGAAAAGTTCAATATTAATTTTGCTGTTTCTATGAAATCTGGTTTTGTTTTTGTTTTGGGTCGCTGTTGTTGTTGTTTTTTGTTGTTCCACTTCTAGAAGCTGATAAGATGGTTTTTATCCCCAGTCTTCTGAGATTTCACAATCACATGTCTTGGTGTTGGTTATTTCATTCATTGTGCTAAACTTTCTGTGATCCATTTCAAAAGGAAATGACATATTCTCAGTTCTATAATTGATTTTTGATTTATTTCTTTCATGATTTTCTTCTTCGTTGTTTTTTACACTATGCTTATGCTGTATTCTTTCTGTTCTCCCTTTCTAGAAACTCTTACTATTTTGATGTGGTAACTCCTGGACTTTCTAATTTTAATATCTTTTGTTCTTTACATCTTTTAGCCCTTTTGCTCTGTATCTTAATATATGCCCTAAATTTTAACTTCTCATCTTTTCCTTGAAATTTTATTTTCTTCTGTATACTTTTTAATTTTTAAGAAATGTTTCTTCCTCCAAACACTCCTTTTTTAATAGCATCCTATTCTGGCCTAGTGGATGCTATATAATTTTTATGTCTCTGGAGAGGTTAGAACTAGTCATTTTGAAGGTATTTTTCTCATCATGTAGTATTTCCTCCAAGTTACCTTTTTACTCTGTTTTTAGTGTTTGTTTTGGCCTCTGTACTTCATGTCAAGTGCACTCCTCAAATGTCAGGTTACCCTTGAAAGAATTGAAGATTATTTCTTTCAATTTCTTGCCTGGCTGCTAATTTGCCAGGGGCCAAGTGAGAAAAAAACTTTGGGGACTCAATAATACGTGTATTTTACTTACTTATTTTCTTTAAGGACTCCAATCTTCTGCTTGGCCTGTTTTCCTCCAGTCCAGAAACCCTTAGTTTGACCCAATACAGAAACTTAGAACCTTAATCCCTTTCTGGATAGAGCAGGAGCATTACATACCTTCAAGAATAGGGTACGTGAAGGTCTACTGCACCTCACAAAGATTTTTTTCAGCAGCCATTTACTGTCCTACCTTTTGCCCACTTCCAAGGGTAACTATTAAAGTAATTCTGGAGCCTTTTATAGGTTCCAAGGTATAAATATGATTGTTTCTCTGTTTTGCTCACTGTTGCCTTAGGGTTCAGTCTTCTTGGGTGGACCCAATCAGTCATCCTTCCTATTTCAGCTTTCCAGCTTTTACATTTTTTTGCCATTGTGTCTTCTTCCATTTCTTTGTCCTTGTTATTTTTTACCTCGTGAACATTTTTTTCCAGGTGTCACTAATAGTATTTAAGGAAAGAGTAGAATAAAATATATACATCCAACATGCCATCACTTGTAGTTTTCTTTATATCTCACTGCTACTATATATGAATCTAGTAACTTATGTTACTAGTTATAAGATTAAAAGATACATAACTACATGACTTGAAGAAAGGGCGGAGAGACATCAGGGAGATGACGGGTCAACCAGCAGCAGAGAGGAGCTGCCCACCACAGGTGGCAGCTTATATGACTTATGTTTTAACTGGAAAAGCACATGAAGATCTGATACTGTTATGGGATCTTTGGGGTGTTGCTTTCCTGGTTGGAAAACTCTGTGGCTAGTGGCACCTTTGCTCAAGTTTTTCTTAGGCCCACTGGCCTCATGCTGCCCTCTCAGCCTGGCAGACTACACTTGGGCTCACACTACTAGCTTGGATCCCACACCTCCAAGGGAGACTGTGAGTCAGGCATGGAGCAGTGAGGGATGTGTGAGCAAGTGTGGGGTCAGGCCACTGTGCACAGTTAGGTGTGCCGGCTACTGTCATGGATTGGGCAGCTCCAAGTGTTGGTACAGATGCCAGCTCTCTGAGAGGCTGCAGCTGAACCAGGGGCACCATAAGCAGCTTCCCCAGCTGGCACCAGAGATTGTGGTGGTGCCTAGAAGTTTGGAGACACCAGGAACCACAGGGTCCCAAAGAGGGAGTCACGGCCTTTGTTTGGGGAGCTCCTATGTCTGGGATCCCTGAAGGGCCACAGCTCTTCTCTCCTTCTTTTTCCCTGAAATGTGGTGAGCAAGAGATATGTTTCAGTCCTATTTGTGTTACAATTCTTTTAGCCTTTCCATTCAATGGGCCTCGAGTTCTTCTCCTGCATCTAGGAAGAATGAGGTACATGGACAAGTGGAGGTTGAGCAAGACAAAGAGGAGCTTTATTGAGCAATAGAAGAGCTCAGAGGAGGCCTGCAGTGAGCAGCTCCTCTCCATAGCCAGGGTGTCCCGACAAGTGGTCAACTATGGGTTGGCAGGTCCTCCTGATGAGAGTTCATCTTTCACCAGAGAGGGTAGTTCCTCTCTGCAGCTAGTCGTACCATTGTCTCCTCAGCTCTCAGCAGACAGGAGAACCTGGGGCGGGCAGCTCCTCTCTGCAGCTGGTTGACCTGTCGTCTCCCTGACCTCTCTCTGCCCTTTCTTCAAGTTAGGCTGAGTCCAGGGTTTTTATGGATCTCAGAGGGGAGGAAATGTGTGCTGATTGGTCCATGGGAGGCCATGCGTGGGCCCAGGGAAAAGCACCACACATTCCCACTCCAGTCCAGAGGACTGGCTCCCTGGCCCCCAGGCTTCAGGCTTGAAGGTAGGGCTTCACTGGGTACCCACTTCCTTCTACCCAGGAGCCTGTCTGCCTCCTGCCACCATTTATGGCACGCAGGCTGTTCATGTCAGGAGCACCTGCAGTCCAGCTCCGGGCTGTCCTCAGTCCTTCCTACCTCAGCCTCCCTCCCATGCTCGTTGGTGCCCAAAGTCTGGAGTGGGCTAAGGAAGCAGGGGGCTGGCATGCCAGCAGTGCCCCAAGCGTGCACACACCCGACCTGGCTGTGATAGCACCCAGGCCCATACTTGCTCTGAGATCAGAGCAGACAAGAGGAGCAGGGAGAGGCCAGGCAGTGGAAGCAGACACTTCTGAGCCTGTGCGGGGCAGAGGGCCTCCGTAGATCCCTAAGAGTGCAAAGATGCCTGGGTCCACAGCGGTGGCACAGAGGCTGCCACTGCACCTGGCGAGCTTTCACCCTGCCAACTCGAAAGGGGCAGGGCTCTCACTTGTCCCTGGCTCCTGACAGCTCTGTGGAGCGTGCAACCCAAACCATGCCTCCTCGTAGCCTAAGGTGGGGGCTCCAGGTCCTCACTGGGTCCCTCTCTGCCTACTCCTCCGTGCCTGACCACACTGCTTTCCTGCCAAGAGCAATGCGCTGGCTACCAGGGCAGCGGGCTCTGGCAGGCTGCTCCCAGGGTCAGGCTCTGAGGACTACCCGCCTCTTCTCCATGTTTACCCTGCAGCATACAGCGGGGGAGAGCGGTGATGCGGTACCAGGGTTCAGAGTGGCAGAGGCTCTGGGCCTGGGAGTGGGTCCTGCTCAACCATGCGAGAGTGGGGGTGGTGTAGTCGCTTGCCTCAGGGATGCAGGGCACAGGGCACTGTTACCACTGCTGCTCCAGCAGCCACTCCTGCCGCCAACAACCTTGCCTCCCAGCTGCAGCTGGTGTGATGGCAGCGACCGCTCTAGACAGACCACCGCTGCCATCAATATCTTGTTTCACAGATGAGAAATCTAACCTCAGGAAAGTTAATTGGCCAGCTAACAGAGCTAATCAGAATAGATTTGGGATTTAGACACAGCTTTTTTGACATTGAAATTTTAACTCTTAGAATCTGAAAATTTTAAAACAAAACAAGACAATAAATTATCTGTCAAAACCTTCATACCGTGAACTGAATTTTACAGAAGTCAAAAGATTTTTTTCTTGGACAGACTGCCAGCTAGGACTTAGGCCTCTTGACAATGAATCCATGTTATCACAAATTCTTTTTAGAGTATTTCCTTCAAAGGTAGGAAAGGTGGATTTACAAGAGAGAGTGGACATGGTTTATGTTTTGGAAAGTGAAAGTAAGTGACATTTGTTCATTGGAGTTGTCCTTGTGTCTGTAAATTTTTAAGACTGGCTGAGTGTTGGCCCTTAGCAAAGTTCTGAAAAGGTCTATCTCTGCTACAAGAACACTACTCAGAACTAGTTGGATTGTTCAGAGCCCACACAAATGGTGAGGTAAAGATGGTACCACAGATGGTAAAGGTGGTTTTCATATAGAAAATGCTACTTCAAATATATATGACCCAAACTAATTTTAGTAAAGATAAAGCAACTGTTAATGAAAATGCTCAATAATGATAAAACCAGAGTAAATCTTGACTTAAAACTAAGAAATTAAAATAAAACAAATATGAAACTTTCTAAACTTTTTACTATCCCCATACTTTGAGAAAATACCCAGAAACAAATTTACATTTCAATATATAAAAAATAAATGCAAATAATTGGATAGGTTATTATTAGCTTCAGGGAATATTTACTGTCATGCTGTAAAACTTAGGTAATAGGATTTTATAATAAAATGCTAACTTTAATTATAGCAAAGAGAGTAACAGCATAATAGTTAACATGTAAATCATATGCAATAGACTATTATTACGTAAAAATCAAGCTGAGTTTCCTTGCAAAAAAACCTGCATGTTTATTGAAAACAAATTTTAAAATATGATCAAGTCACTTTAGCCTCAAGATAGCCCAAGAGACTATCCTAGAGTTTTATGAAAATTAAAGGAAAAGATGTGGGCTTGATAATCTGTTTAAGTAAAATGTACGACTCTAGTTTATAAACACATGTAAAACTGACCCAAGTATGGCTTAAGAAATAAAACATAAGTTACAAAACTGACTGAATATATAAGTGGTGGTGGGGGGGGTTTCAATCTTTTAGCTACAGTTATTTGTCTGGTTGATTGCCATCAATTAATACCGTAAAATAATTTTCCTTCTCTTTTTAAAATTTGCTTTACCCAGAAGTGACTTGCAAATTACTTGGGCTGGAAAAAAACAACAACGACAAAAACAAACAAACAAAAAAAACATGTTAGAGGCCTTCCTACATGGTTCCTGGAGTAAATCCTTGACTTGGCACCATCTGGAACATCCAGTGTCAGCTCCAGGCTCTAGAGAGACTGATACTCAAAGTCAAGCAAGTTGCCTTTCTTGCTGTTCATTGAATAACTTTCCATTGGCACTTAGCAAAATATATGAGAAAATAAAAGTCAGTTAAAGAATGCATTCAGAAATCTTCTGCCTTCTTTCCTTCAAACCCTTGTTTTACTCTGTTTTTTAGTCTCTTTATTATTGGTGGCTGTCTCAAATGGTCAATCGAGTTCTCTTTTTTGGTGCATCTCTAGCCAGAGATTCATAATATTTTCTGAGCTTTCAAATTAGAAAAAAACCCTGTGTTATCACAAGGGTGATTGTGATTAGGTAGTAACGTAAGTCTGTCGAACTCTTACTATGTGTCTATCAATCACTGGGCTCTGGGTATTAACATATATTGGAAATTACATATAGAAGTATTAATCAATCTTGTTATTTTCTCTAATTCTATATGTAGTCCTCTGCTCTTACAGTTGCAACGCATCTTAATAAAATTACAAGACATTTATTTTTTAAAGCAAAGTTAAACTTTTATTGTGTCTTGATGTTTTCAGCAGTCTCTCACTTTAAAAAGGCCTGAAATAATAACTGTCTTCTTCAACTCATTTTTAGCTTCTGCAATTTTTTTTCTTTCTCCCTTAGGTTCTAACTGCTGTTGTGGTCTGATGCTAAAAATGTTTTATCTTAAAGGTCTAAAGGAAATGTTTTCTTCCAACATAACATTCTGTGCTCTTGGCTTGAAATTGTTCTATGAATCTGAAAATTTTCACTTATGACCCAGGAAACATTCCTCCTATGTTTAACTAACTCAAATACCCTTTTCCTTGGTTTTGATTTGCAGGTTAACTAAATGGACTCCCCATGGAGAACAGCAATCACTGCATGTCTTTTCTTTTGCCTTTTGGTAACTGGCCTAACCATTTATCAGAATAATTCCTATGTCATTGTTATTAAGTTTTGATTTGTTTAAAAAAACTGAGATTAAAAAATTAATTAAGGTTATTATGTCCATGTAATTTTCTGTATTTGCTTTTAAAGTCCTCTGCCATTAAGTTATAGCACTTTGATTCCTGGGTTTAAAAAAAACAACAAATCCTGCTAAATCTTAAACACTGACTGTAGTTAAAGCCTCATCTTTAGACCCAATAAAAGATGCCAATCAAAATAAACTGTGTTTGTGAGACACAGGGTCAGAATTTAAAACTATTCAAATCTTCAAGGCCCAGAGACTGTCATGAAAGAGGTGGGTGTGAGATTGTAAGGGCCAATTTTGAGACAAAATTAGTTCTGCTTTTAAATAAATTAACTTAATTTCAAAGGCACACTGATGCAAAACCAATATTTGGGCCCATGTGTCAGATTAACAAGGTTTTCTTGGAGCATTAACCCACTCCTTAATAAATAACTATAAAGATTATAAAAAGATTTATGGAAATCATATCTTATGACCAAGATGATTAAAATTTAATAGATTTTGTTTATAAAATTTTGAGAGATGGGTTTAATTGGCCTCATGGTGTCTTTATTATTAGGGATTATTGTTTGGGAAATAAAGCCTCCTCTCTCAAAGAATGAGATTTTTGCCTTTTTTTGAAATCTTTGAGTTATCACTTTGGCTAAATTAATGACTTATTTTACAATTACCTGTGATTCTACTTTGTGATATCAAGTGTTTTAAGCTATTTATATTTGACAAACTTTCCAAAATCAAACTCTAACTTTGGTTGTCATTAACTTTGATGTTAGGTCCCCTTGAAGTCCAAAAGAGAGATATTTGGCTTGCTTGATATAATAAAATCATTGTCAAATAAAATCATTTTATTATAACAAAGCTGAATATGTTTCTTTTGGATTTCAGGCTATTGTATTGTCAAATATGAAATGGGGTTTAACCTTATTCGGATTATATTCATATAAATGTGTTATTAGTGTCTGTTCCAGGATTGCATGAGGTTCCTGTGATTCTAATATATCTTAGCATACATTTTTAGTAGTAATTATGATTATTATATAAGATCTTTGTATGCCACAGAAGTAACAAAATTTCCTTGTGAATTGTGTTTTTAACCTTGACTGTTTTGAGACTCTTGTAATCCACAGTTGTTTTACTTTTCTGTTTTTCAATAAATGTTTTTATAATCAGCTATAGGACTCTGACAGATGCTCTTGAATGCAGGTTTCTGATAACTTTGGAGATTGTGACCTGAGAATAGAGGAAAAACTTCCAAGACTCCCACAGAGAGCTAATGTGTTCATAAACATGAAGTAGAAGAGGAGTGAATTACATAGACTAAAACTAATGGAAGATTGAAATAATCTTTTTATGACTTTGTTTGAAATATTGGCAACTCTTGTTTCAGAGTCCAGAAAACCCTTTGTCTGTGGGCTATTCACGGCTTTTAACAATTGGGTAAACTACAGTCAGGTGCACAAAATCTGAAGAATAATTCTCTCTACCATATTTCTTCAAAGTTTGAAAACTATCTGCAAGTATACTTAGTTTATTGCAGTACAGTTATTTACATAAGTTCAGTAAGGATCTGTTTTTTTTATTGACCTCAAAGCCCCTGAAGGACTTTAAGTTTAATGGCATACTTTCAGATATAAACACATTGCTTTATGGGATCTGAGTTGACTTACAGAGACAGTAAAAGCCCCTTGGGAAAGCTGCCCTCATATCTTTTCTACACAGCCCCTGTACAGGTTCCTGACCTGTGGTGAATAAAGAATATCACTTTCTGACCAGTACATGCTCCCCAAGTCATTTTGAGACTTTGCGGTGAGGAATTCATCCAATTAATACAGGTGTTTGCAGGCACAGGCTGGGCTCAAGGCACTAAAGTCTAATCTGAGATTCCTTATTAAATAAACTTCCAGCAGAGCCATTAAAAAGAGCCTATATAGCAAATGATTATTCTTGCTGACTCTATGCAAATATTCAGGCCAAGTATGATAAGACTAACATTTATTTTAGACGTAACTTTGTCCTGTGATTTGTCATTAATGAAAACAGGGATTGGAGAGAGAAGAATTATATTTCAAAATAAACTATAGTACACCTATTATTAGACTCTTGTCTTGCCTAATGTTTTTCATTTTTTATTATTTGCTACAGTTTAATTATTTCCTTCTTTTATATCTTTTTCCCCATTTATCCATAATTGAAATTACTAAAACTTAAGATGTGCTTTTTAAAAACCCTGTGAACTGAAGCTGGAAAAACTTCTGAAGAAAATATTAGCAACTTTGGTGACTTTCTGGCAGACACTGCGGACACTGTGAACAGCAGCTCAGGAAAACAATTCATGAGGCAAAAGTGTACATCCAGTGGATGGAGCATGGTGAAGTGGTTATGAGTCCAGACTCTGGAGCTAGACTGTTTGGGAAAGAATTGTGTGTTTCAGGTTCTTGCATTGGGATTGAGTAGGCAAACCACTCGACCTATGATGAATGAAGAAAAGCATGGTGGTGTGATGGCCTACCCGGGGGTGGCACAGAGTCAGAGTCAACTTCCCACCCTCATCCAAGGGAAATGGTGAGTGATTATGAGACTCTGCTCAGGAAAGCAGGGGTCCTCCCATGGATCTTTGCAACCTGTGGATCAGGAGATCTCCTCGTGACCTCACGCCATCAAGGCTTTAGGTCTGATAAACAGAGCCATGTGGAGTTTCGGCAGAGTAGTCACTCAGGCACACACAGAGACCCAGGAGTTTTACATACTTCACCCTAAGATTCCTGACAAGGCAGGAAATCTGTCTGTACATATCCCTAGGAAGGGGGCTGAATCCAGGGAACCAGGTAGCATTGTTCTCTGGGCCTCACTTCCATAGCACCTCATAAGTTAAAACCTAATGGATTGGAATTCCAGTCAGCCAATGGCAACAGGCTGGAGTCTGCCTGAGAAAGGACTGAGTTTCTGGGGAGAGAGGTCACCACCATCTCTGTGGTTTGGTCAACTTGGCCATTCCAGCCCACCAGATTTGGAGAATCCAAATGGTCCAGACAAGGAAGCATCACCCACAGTGCAGCAAAATTGCTTTGCCACATTGTGACCAGACTGCCTTTTAAAGCAGGACCCCGATTCATTCCTTCTCACTGGGAAGGACCTCCCTGTGAGGGCTTCAGCCACTCTAGCCAGGGTTATATGAACAGAGCTCTGAACCCTACCTGGAATGGTGCTCCCATGGGAAGGGGCAGCTGCCATCTGTGCAGTTCTATTGACTCAGCCATTCCAGCCTGCCAGCTTTGGAGAATCCAAATGGTCCAGAAAAGGAAGGATTCTCCCTCTCCCCAGTGCAGCACACCTGATATACCAAAAAGCAGCCAGACTACTTCTTTAAGTGGGTTCCAGATTCTGTTCCTCCAGAATGGTTGAGACCTCACAACATGGATCTCCAGTCACCTCCTACAAATACATTCGGCTGACAATAGGTCAGTACCCCCTGGAATGGAGCTTCCAGAGGAAGGAGCAGGGTGCCATCTGTGCCATTTCACAGCCTTCATTGGTGATACCTCCAGGTATGGGAATAAATGAGACACCTAGGATCTGGAGTAAACACCCAACAAACTGCAGCAGTGCTATGAAAGAGTGGCCTGATTCTAAAAGAAGAAAAAACAACAGAAAACACCAACAGCAACATCAACCAAAAGGACCCACAAAACTCCATTTAAAGGTCAGCAACCTCAAAGATCAAAGGTGGGTTAGTCCACAAAGATGAGGAAGAATCAACACAAAAATGCCAGAGTGCCTATTCTCTTCCAAATGACTGCAACACCTGTTCAGCAAGGGCAAAGAACTGGGCTGAGGCTGAGATGGCTGAATTGACAGAAGTAGGTTTCAGAAGGTGGTTAATAATGAAAATTCATTGAGCTAAAGCAGCATGTTATAACCCAATGCAAAAAAAGCTAAGAATCATGATAAAACAATACAGGAGCTGATAGCCAGAAGAGCCAGCTTAGAGAGAACACAGCCGACCTGATGCAGCTAAAAACACAACACAAGAACTTCATGATGCAATCACAAGCATCAATAGCAGAATAGACCAAGTAGAGGAAAGAATCTCAGAGCTTGAAGACTATCATTCTGGAATAAGACAGGCAGACAAGAATAGAGAAAAAAAGAACAAAAGGAATGAACAAAACCTATGAGATATGTGGGATATGTGAAGAGACCAAACCTACTATTGATTGGGATACCTGAAAGAGACAGGGAGAATGGAACCAAGTTGGAAAACATACTTCAGGATATCATCCAGGAGAACTTCCTCAACCTAGCAAGACAGGCCAACATTCAAATTTAGGAAATGCAGAGAAGCCTAGTAAGATACTCTGAGAAGATCAACCCCAATACACATAATTATGAGATTATCCAAGGTAGAAATGAAAGAAAAAATGTTAAGGACAGCCAGAGAGAAAGGCCAGGTCACCTACAAGGGTAACCCCATCAGAATAACCAGTGGACCTCTCAGCAGAATTCCTACAGGACAAAAGAGATTGGGGACCAATATTCAACATTCTTAAAAAAAAGAATTTCCAACCCCAAATTTCATATATCCAGCCGAACTAAGCTTTATAAGCAAAGGAGAAATAAGATGCTTTTCAGACAAGCAAAGGCTAGGGAACTCATCAACACTAGGCCTACCTAGCAAGCACTCCTGAAGGAAGCACTAAATATGGAAAATAAAAACCATTACCAGCCACTACAAAAACTTACTGAAGTGTGAAGACCAGTGACACTAGGCAGCAACTACATAAACAAATCTGCAAAATAACAAGCTAGCATCATGTTGTCAGGATCAAATTCACACATAAAAATACCAATCTTAAATTTAAATGGGCTAAATGCCCCAATTAAAAGGCACAGTATGGCAAACTGGATAAAGAACCAAGGCCCATCAGTATGTTGTCTTCAAGAGACCCTACTCACATGAAAAGGCACACATAGGCTCAAAATAAAGGGATGTAGAAAAATTTGCCAAGCAATTGGAAAACAAACAAACAGAAAAACAGGGGTTGCAATCCTAGTTTCTGACAAAATAGACTTTAAATCAACAAAGATCAAAGAAGACAAAGAAGAGGCTGGGTGCAGTAGCTCTCACCTGTAATTCCAGTACTGTGGGAGGCTGAGGTGGGTGGATCACTTGAGGTGGAGTTTGAGACCAGCCTAGCCAACAGGGCAAAACCCCATCTCTACTAAAAATACAGAAATTAGCTGGGTATGGTGGTGCATGCTTGTAATCCCAGCTAGTAGGGAGGCTGAGGCAGAAGAATTGCTTGAACCCAGTGGGCGAAGGTTGTAGTGAGCCAAGATTGCACCACTGCACTTCAGCCTGGGAAACAGAATGAGACTCCATCTCAAAAAAAAAAAAAAAAAAAAAAAGGGCATTACATATTGGTAAACGGTTCAATTCAACAAGAAGAACTAACTCTCCTAAATATATATACACTCAATACAGGAGAAATCAGATTTATAAAGCAAGTTCTAAAAGACATACAAAGAGACTTAGACTCCCACACAGTAATAGTGGGAAACTTTAACATCCCACTGACAATATTAGACAGAGCATCTACACAGAAAATTAAGAAAAATATTCAGGACCTGAACTCAGTTCTAGATCACGTGGGCCTGATAGGTATCTACAGAAATCTTCATCCCAAAACAACATAATATACATTCTTCTCATTGCCACATGACACTTACTCTAAAATTGATTTCATAATCAGAAAATACTCCTCAGCAAATGCAAAAGAACTGAAATCATAACAAACAATCTCTCAGATCACAGAGCAATCATGTTGCAACTTAAGATTAAGAAACTCATTCATAACCACACAGTTACATGAAAATTGAATAACCTGCTCATGAATGACTCTGGTAAATAATGAAATTAAGTCAAAAGTCAAGAAGTTCTTTGAAACGAATGAGAACAAAAAGACAAATGCCAGAATCTCTGGAATGCAGCTAAATAAAGCAGTGTTAAGAGGGAAATTTGTAGCACTAAATGCCCACATCAAAAAGGTAGAAAGAGCTCAAGTTAACATACTAACATCATAATTAAAGAACTAGAGAACTAATAGCAAACAAGCCCCAAAGCTTGCAGAAGACAAGAAATAATCAAGATCAGAGCTGAACTGAAGGAGATAGAGACATGAAAAACCCTTCAAAAGATAAATGAATCCAAACACTGTATTTTGAAAAAGTTAATAAAATAGACCACTAGCTAGACTAATAAAGACGAAAAGAGAGAAGAATCAAATAAACACATTCAGAAATGATAAGGAGGATATTACCACTGACCCCACAGAAATACAAACAACTATCAGAGAATACTGTAAATACCTCTGTGCACATAACTAGAGAATTTAGATGAAATGGATAAATTCCTGGACACATACACTCTCTCAATACAAAACCAGGTAGAAATTCAGTCCTGAACAGGCCAATAATAAGTTCTAAAATTGAGGCAGTAATAACTAGCCTACCAACCAAAAGAAGCCAATGACTAGACAGATTCACAGCTGAATTCTACCAGAGGCACAAAGAAGGGCTAGTACCATTCCTACTGCAACTATTCCAAAAAAAAAACACAAAGGAGTGAATACTCCCTAACTCATCCTATGAGGCCAGCATCATCCTGATACCAAAACCTGGTGGAGATACAACAACAAAAAAGAAAAGTTCAGGCCAGTATTCTTGATGAACATTGATGGCAAAATCCTCAATAAAATACAGGCAAACTGAATCCAGCAGCACACCAAAAAGCTTATGCACCACAATCAAGCTGGCTTCATCCCTGGGATGCAAGGTTGGTTCAACATATGCAAATAAATAAATGTAATACATCACATAAACAGAAAGACAAAAACCACATGTTTATCTCAGTAGACACAGAGAAGTGCTTTGATAAAATTCAACATCCCTTTATGTTAAAAACGGTTTATAAGCTAGGTATTGAAGGAACATAACTCAAAATAATAAGAGCCATATATGACAAAACACAGCCAATATCATGCTGAATAAGCAAAAGCTAGAAGAATTCCCCATG
Source organism: Homo sapiens (assembly GCF_000001405.40). NCBI lineage: Eukaryota > Metazoa > Chordata > Mammalia > Primates > Hominidae > Homo > Homo sapiens. Next base: position 95,646,928 of record NC_000006.12, read on the forward strand.
AAAACTGTCATGCAAGGATGCACTCTGTCACCACTCCTACTGAATATAGTATTGGAAATTCTTGCCAGGGTAATAAGGCAGGCAAAAAAAAAAATAAAGTTATACAAATAGGAAGATAGAAAGTCAAACTATCTTTGCAGCATTTGCAGATGACATAATCCTATAGTTAGAAAACCCCATTGTCTCAGCCCAAAAGCTTCTTAAGCTGATAAGCAACTTCAGCAAAGTCTCCAGATACTAAATCAATTGCAAAAATCACTAGCATTCCTTCAACCAATAAGAGGCAAGAAAAGAGCCAAATCATGAATGAACTCCCATTCACGGTTGCTACAAAAAGAATAGAATATCTAGGAATACAGCTAACAAAAGAAGTGAAGGACCTCTTCAAGGACAACTACAACCTACTGCTCAAGGATATCAGAGAGGACAGAAAGAAATGGAAAAACATTACATGCTAATGGATAGGAAAAATCAATATCATAAAAATGCCCATAATGCTCAAAGTAATTTATAATTCAATGTTATTCTCATTAAACTACCATTGATATTCTTCACAGAATTAGAAAAAAACTATTTTAAAATTCTTATGGAACTAAAAATGAGCCTGAATATCCAACACAATTCTAAGCAAGAAGTTCAAAGCTGGAGGCATCATATTACCTGACTTCAAAGTATACTACAAGGCTACAGCACCCAAAACAGCATGGTACCGGTACAAGAGCAGACACATAGACCAATGGAACAAAATAGAGAACTCAGAAATAAGAACATACACCTATAACCATCTGATTTTTGACAAACCTGACAAAAACAAGCATTGGGGAAAGTATTCCCTATTTAATAAATGGTGCTGGGAGAACTGGCTAGCCATATGCAGAAAATTGAAACTAGACCTCTTCCTTGCACCATATACAAAAATTAACTCAAGATGGATTAAAGACTTGCACATAAAACCTAAAACTATAATAACCTTAGAAGAAAATCTAGGCAACACCATTCAGGACGTGGGCACAGGTGAAGATTTCATGATGAAAACACTGAAAACAATTGCAACAAAAGCAAAAATTGCCAAATGGGATCTAACTAAGCTAAAGAGCTTTGGCACAACAAAAGAAACTATTATTAGATAGAACAGACAACCTATATCATGGGAGAATATTTTCATAATCTATTCTTCTAACAAAAGTCTAATATTCAGCATCTACAAAGAAATTAAACAAATTTACAAGAAAAAAACAAACCACCCCATTAAAAAGTGGGCAAAGTACATGAACAGACACTTCTCAAAAGAAGACATACATGTGGCCAAAAAAAATATGAAAGAGCTCAACATCAATATCACTGACTGCTAGACAAATACAAATCAAAACCACGATGACATACCATCTCATGCCAGTCAGTATGGCTATTATTAAAAAGTCTAGAAATAACAGATACTGATAAGGTTGCAGAGAAAAAGGAACAATTTTACACTGTTGATGAGAGTGTAAATTAGTTCGACCATTGTGGAAGACATTGTAGAAATTCTTCAAAGATCTAGAGTCATAAATACCATTAGACCAGCAATCTCATTTCTAGGTATACACCCAAAGGAATATAAATCATTCTATAATAAAGTTACATACACACGTATGTTCATTACAGCACTATTCACAATAGCAAAGACATGGATTCAACCTAAATGCCCATCAATGATACACTGTACAAATAAAATATGGTACATATACACTATGGAATACTATGCAGCCATAAAAATGAGTGAGATCATGTCCTTTGCAAGGACATGGATAAAGCTGGAAGTTATTATCCTCAGCAGACTGATGCACAGACAGAAAATCAAACACCACATGTTCTCTCTTATAAGTGGCAGCTGAGTGATGAGAACACATGGACACAAGGGGGGGATCTACACCCACTGAAGCCTGTTGATGGGGTGGGGAAGGCAGAGCATCAGGAAGAACAGCAAATGAATGCTGGGCTTAATACCTGGGTGATGTAATGATCCTTGCAGCAAATCACTATGAAACACGTTTACGTATGCAACAAACCTGCCTGTCCTGCACATGTACACCTGAACTTAAAATGATAGTTGAAGATTAAAAAAAAATAGCAACCTATTTACATTCATAAACCATCTTTACACCTGCCTACTGATGTGTGGACTTCAGAATAATATGGCCTATATCTATTTTCTATAATTGTTCTTTACTTTTTGTTTATTTGTTTGTTTGTTGTAGTTTTTCTCTCTTCCTCCTCCTATTGTTTCTTTTCAGGATGTGAGACTTTACAACCTGCTAAAAATGAGCTTCCCTAATAACATGGGAAAAACCCATTTAGGGATAAACCATTCTATGCATGAGAGATCAGAAAAAAACCTGAGACCAGAGACTCAATTTCATCTAAAATGCTTTCTCTGAAAGATTTTCAAAAGAAAAGATGGGAAATGTGAAAGAAAAATAAATCTAGGGACTCCAAAAGCACTAATACAAAGGGAAAATCCAAGTTGGGAACTGAGTCAGGCAAACCTGCCTCCCATTTTATTCCAAAATAAGATAGCTACAAAAATAACAGAAAGTTACATACCTCCCTCACAATTTTCCCACAAGGAAATTCCTTGTGGACAAAGGACCGACAGAACCCAAACTCATCCTGCTGCTCAACTGAGACAAATGCATATCTGATTACTTCCTTTAGCCTATTGTTTCACTAAGCCAGACTAAAGCATATATGACTATGCCTCTACCCTTCTCTCACATGTAAATTGTATATTCAGTTAAGGGCTAATCAGAGACTCAAAAGAATGCAACCATTTATCTCTTATCTCCCTATGACCTGGAAGCCTCCTACCTTGCTTTGAGTTGTCCTGCCTTTCCAGAACAAATCAGCATACATCTTGTATATACTGATTGATGTCTCATGTCTCCCTAAAATGTATAAAACTGAACTGTGCCCTGACCACTTTGGGCATATGTCATCAGGACTTCCTGAGGCATCACAGGTGTGTCCTTAACCTTGGCAGAATAAATGTTCCCAGTTGATTGAGATCTGTCTCAGATATGTTTGGGTTCACACCCAAAGGCCAATTTTCCTCCCTCCATCTTACAGAAAAGAAAAAAGAGGTTGAAAGAAACTGCCAATCTAAACTGAAGAAGGTTTTCTTTGGATACATAGATTTTTCCTTAAATAAAACTGGTCTGTGGAAATGAGGAAGAAAAAGAAATGTGACAATTAAACAGGAATGAAGAAATGATTTGGGCAACCCCTGAGATAAAACTGTGGTGAATTGTGGACCCCTGTCTTCCAACCTATTGATAGATGTAGGAGGCTGATAAGGGAACCTGCACAGGGGACTTGCCTAAACCTGACCATGGTGAAAAATTCTATCCCTTCACACCATGCACAGTGAGGGAAATAAATCAATATGGAGTGGCTCAAACTAACAGCCTGCATGCACACTGGAAGAATGGGGTGGAGTCACCAGGAATTCACACCTTATGTAGGGGTAGGAGCCTGGTCTCTTCAGCTCATGTGTGGTGGTCTGGTATTCAGTCTGTGAGGTGGGAACATGTTGGCAGGACAGCCTCTTTTTTTGTTAAGAGCTTTCTTTTAATACATTCTGCTCTCCTCACTTTTCCATGTGTCCGCTTGCCTAATTTTCCTGATCATGAGACAAGAACACAGATTTTAGCTGAGCTAAGGAGCAAAAAAAATCCTGCATTACTATCAACAGTGAACACCTGATCTTCAAGAGTCCTGGACACTTGTAAGCTTCCCCTGAAGAGACCTGGAGGGAATTTGGACATCCTGATGAAAACAAGGGTGAAGGAAGAACCTCATTCCTACCAAATTAGCACTAAATTACACTAGTGAGGTATTTTCCTGTGAGCAGAGGCAGCAATCGAACCCATTATTGTTGCGGGAAGTCAGGGACCCCAAATGGAGGGACCGGCTGAAGCCATGGCAGAAGAACGTGGATTGTGAAGATTTCATGGACATTTATTAGTTCCCCAAATTAATAATTTTATAATTTCTTATGCCTGTCTTTACTGCAATCTCTAAACAAATTGTGAAGATTTCATGGACACTTATCACTTCCCCAATCAATACCCTTGTGATTTCCTATGGCTGTCTTTAGTTTAATCTCTTAATCCTGTCAGCTGAGGAAGATGTATGTCACCTCAGGACCATGTGATAATTGCGTTAACTGCACAAATTGTAGAGCACGTGTGTTTGAACAAATATGAAATCTAGGCACCTTGAAAAAAGAACAGGATAACAGCAATTGTTCAGGGAATAAGAGAGATAAACTCTGACCGCTGGTGACCCAGGTGGAACAGAGCCATATTTCTCTTCTTTCAAAAGCAAATGGGAGAAATATCGCTGAATTATTTTTCTCAGCAAGGAATATCCCTGGGAAAGAGAATACACGCCTGGGAGTATAGGCCTATAGATGGCCCCCGTTAAGTGAGTCCGTCTTCTATGGTCGAGGCTGTAGGGGTGAAATAGACCCGTCTCCCATAGCGCTCCCAGGCTTATTAGGAAGATGAAATTCCTGCCTAATAAATTTTTGGTCGGACTGGTTTCTCTCAAAACCCTGTCTCCTGATAAGATGTTATCAATGACAATGGTGCCCGAAACTTCATTAGCAATTTTAATTTCAGCCTGGTCCTGTGGTCCTGTGATCTTGCCCTGCCTCCATTTGCCTTGTGACATTCTATTACCTTGTAAAGTACTTGATGTCTGTGACCCACACCTATTCGCACACTCCCTCCCCTTTTGAAAATCCCTAATAAAAACTTGCTGGTTTTTGCAGCTTGTGGGGCATCACAGAACCTACCGACATGTGATGTCTCCCCCGGATGCCCAGCTTTAAAATTTCTCTCTTTGTACTCTGTCCCTTTATTTCTCAGGCCGGCTGATGCTTAAGGAAAATAGAAAAGAACCTATGTGAACATCAGGGCGGGTTCCCTGATACATTATGGCTACATATTAGTTAAGAAAATGGGGCACAGAGAGATTAAGTAACATATACAACATCAATGATCCAGTCATTTTTGGAGCTGAGATACAAACCCATAAATCTGGTTTCAGAACTTTCATTTATCATAACATTTTACTGCTTTCAAATATCCACTGCAAAATAATTCAGGATAAGGATTTATCAATATGGTGATATCCACTTGCTTCTAAATTGTGTGTCTTCTCAGAGTGTAATGTTGGACTTTATTTTGTCTTTTATTGTATGCTTATTTTCCTCATAGGGAGAGCTAGGCCAAGGACACATCTGAAAATTATAACTCACCAAATCCTGTGCAGACTTGGCTTTATAATGTCAGTATCACTTGCAGTTTTTCACATTTCAGATTTGTAGGAAACCTAATACAATTTAGATAAATGGGATTTTAATTAACAAAATCTAATTTTCAACCAAAGGGAGGGTACTTCAACATTAAAATTGGCTGTATAATAAATCTGGCTTTTCAAATATCAGCTATGCCCAACTGCCTGCATTTCTGATAACCATGCTGTGGTTTCCAAGGAGTCTATGAATCTGGTTTCCTGGTTATCAATTATTTAAGTAAGATTTGCACAAGAACAGAAGAATTTTAGTTTATATAATCAATTCAGGTTACCTTATAAAAGACATAAAATTTGGCATAAAAACCCATGTATAGTATTATGCTTCAAGCATTATGGACCTAAGAGTTTGAAAGTATGCCATGTACAAACCAATCTGTCCTTTCTCACCTTCCTCACCATGATAGTCTCAAAAAATAAACCTAAAATTTCAGGGGTCCTCAAGTTTACCAGAGACCCAGAGATATCGACATCCTGAGGGAGACATAACAGACTGATACTCCAGGGCTGATTACACCAAGATGAGGTTTGGTCCTGGCAGTTACCAGAATATGGGAAGGAGAAAAAAATGTTACCAGAGTTTTGATCTTGCTCAGTTCAGGCTAGCTTGGAGTAGAAGACAGCCTGTCTTTAATCTGGTTCAATCCCTAGGAGTTATGCACTTGGCAAAAATGTCTTGAAAAACAAGGCTCATCTTGACAAAAACAACAAAAATCCCCCAGAAAACAACCAAACAAAAAAATTGTATTGATGTATAACTGACATAAAAAGTATATTCTAAATATAAAATAAAAATTATAAAATTATAAAAGAAAATATATGGGAAAATCTATGTGACCCTAAGTTTGATGGTTAATTTTTAGCTGTAACATGAAAATAATGAATCATAAAATTAAAAAATTGATGTTTTGGACTTGATTAAAAGTTTAAAAGTTCTTTGTGAAAGACATTGTTGACAGAATTAAAGATGAAGACATAGACTAGGATAAAATATATGCAAAACATGTACATGAAAAATAGACTTAGAGCTAAATTTTCAAATAACTCTTAAAGCTAAAATATAAGTTAATGAAGTTATGGGCAAAAGATCTGAACAGACACCTTATCAAAAATGTATACAGATAGGAAATATATGAAAAGATGCTCAATATTTTTAGAAAAATCCAAATTAACATCAAGAATTGGGAAACCCAAATTAAAACAACAATGAAATATCACATATTTCATTCGATATTTAGCCATTAGAATAGCTAAAATCTAAAAAAGTGAAATTCCAAATGCTGGAGGGTTGTAGATCAATAGGAATTCTCATTAATAACTGGTGGGAATGCAACATGGTGTAGCCATGTTGGAAAATTGGCAGTTTCTTACAAAGCTGAACATAATTTTAACATACAATTCAGCAATCAGACTCCTTTAAGTTTACCTAAGTGATTTAAAAATATATATCCACACAAATACCTGGGCATAAATATCTATAGCAACCTTATTCCTAACCACTCAAAACTGGAAGCAACCCAGATGTCCTTCAATAAGCAAATGGATAAACAAACTATTTTATATTGTTACAATGGAATACTAATCAACTATAAAGGGCATAAGCTATTAAGCCACACAAAGACATGGATGGATCTTAAATACATATTACTAAGTGAAAGAGACCTGCCTAAAAAAGGCAACATACTGTATTATTCGAATTGTATGACATTCTGCACAGGATAAACTATATAAACAGTAAGAAGATTAGTGGCTACCAGGAGTTGGATGGTGGTGGAAGAGAGCTGAATCTTTGAAGAACAGGGGATGAAAATGTTTAGGGAGGTGATGCTATTCCATTTTATACTGAAATGATGGATATATGAAACTATGCAATTGTTTCAACCCATATAATTTTATAGCACAGATTAAGTCTTTACCTATGCAAAATTTAAAAATAAAAAGTAATGACAAAAAAGTAATGACTTTTGCACCAACCTAATGAAAAGATTACAAGATATAATGAAGAAGGTAACAAAATAATCTAATTATTACTAATACATAAAATAACTTTACTGAAGAGGGTAGGGTGAAAAGTTGCTGACTTAAGCAATTTTGGAAATGAGTGTAGGAAGACTAAAAGCAAAGAAGCTGCACATCAACACTGTACTCTAGTTAAGAAAGTTATTTCATATGGTAGATTAGGTTAAGAATTATTATAATGCTTTACATCTATACTGAAATTGAATGATTAAATTAATGAATGGCATATAATGACAATTAGATTTCTCATTGTTGGGGTGGGAGACAACAGATAAGCAAGAGGAGGAATCCAAAAGTATCCACCTGATAATTGGAGTTTGAGACATCTGTGTGAATTCATATTTAACTTAATATAGACAGAAGTAGTGACATATAGAAATATTCATGTATACCTGTAAATATATTGGCTAGTACAAACACATACATATTTTCTTGTCCTAAAAGCTGAGAGAACCTAAAATCATGATAGTCTAGTAGCAATGATCACACCTACCGTCCGATTTTGGTTTCTAATACAATTCTTCAATAGAGGGAACCATCTGCTTTTTGAAGAAATACGTAACTATCTAGGCCTGAGGCAGGACTTATACAAGATGATCCTGGAGCATCTTGTAGTGCCAGAAAGACAAAAAGTGCTTTCCAAAAAGTAATGGGGGGTGTGTTAAAGGGACACAGGAACTAGCTGAAATAGTTCCCACTGAGCAAAGCTTGAATAATTTGAATTTTTTTAAAAGTAATATTGAACTCAATCCAAACTTAATATAATTCAAATTTATATAAATAAATAATGAAAAATGTAAGTAAATGGAGGAAAATAGACAAATTCCCTATGCAGAGGAATTCCAAGTAATTTATGCAGATATTCTGCACTCATGTAGATACTTCCTGATCCTTAAATGTGGGTTATAGACAGTGACTTTATTCTGTAGATTACTGTATGAAAAGGGAGGAAAAAAAGAGGTGAATTTATGATGCAGAAACCTCACAATCATATCTTTAGGCCGGTGCAGAAGGACAACATTAATAATGATAAGTAATGTGGATGATAGTATGTATTCTTGATATGGTGTGACGAGAATGGCACTTCCACCCCAAAATCCAAAACCTTAATATAATCATGAGAAAAACATAAGATAAATACTTAATGTGGACATTCTACAAAATACCTGACCAGTATTCTTCAAACTGTCAAGGTCATCAAAACCAAGAAAAATCTGAAAATCTGTCACAGCCAAGAGGAGCCTAAAAAGACATGACATCTAAATGCAATGAGGAAACTCAGAATCCTCCAAAAAAAAAAGGTAAAAAATAGCAAAATCTGAATAAATCAATTACAACAAAACTAAGATGTTAATATGGGGTGTGGGCTCTATGAAGTATCTGTACTATCTTTGCAATCCTTCTGCAAATCTCTTCTTTAGTGTCAGACATGGCATGATTGGTCAATTTCCTTTGCAGTATTTATTTAAATACTGTTAAGTACTGTTGTAAATGAATGTGTTTGCATGTTTGAGATGGTTAATTTTATGTGGCAACTTGACTGAACTAAGGAATGCCCAGATAGTTAGTAAAACATTATTTCTGGGAGTGCCTATGAGGATGTTTCTGGAAGAGAATAGAATTTGAATTAGTAGACTGCGTAAAGAGATCCATCCTCACCACCGTGAATGGGCACCATCAATCTGTTGAGGGTCCCAAAAGGCCAAAAAGTAGGAAGAAGGGCAAATTCCCTCTCTTCTGGAGCTAGTATATCTATCTTTTCCTACCCTCAAACATAGGAGCTCCAGATTCTTGCCAGCCTTTAGATGCTGAGGCTTACACCAATGTCCCCTGCCACCACCTTTTCTCCATCCCCACTTTCCAAGTTCTCAGGCCTTCTGACTCAGACTGGGAGCTATGACTTCATCTTCCCTGGTTATCAGCCCTTGGGACTTAGAATGAATGACACGATGGGCTTTCCTGGTCCTTCAGCTTACTGATGGCAGCTAATGGGACTTCTTGACCTCCATAGTTGCCTAAGCCAATTTTCATAAACTCTCTCTCTCTCTCTCCACACACACACACACACACACACACACACACACACACTCATATCTCCACACTCGTATCTCCTATTGGTTCTGCTTCTTTCTTTGGAGAACAGAGGCCATTCACTAATACAGTGTGTGTCTAGAATTTCAAAATTTATACACTATAACTCAGATGTATAAAATATGTAATCTTGTTTTCTATTACTGATTTTAACCTTACTATCCATCCAATCTTAATTTCAAGACTCTGGAAAAATGAAAACAAATCTTAAACTTAGCATAATGAGTTGCTTCTGGTTTCATTTTTTTTCTGTAGAAAAAAATCTTTTGGAAAACAATCCAATCTTTTCATGAGTTAAGCTTAGGAAATGCTAGCATCTCCCCACCTTCCTCCTTTTTCCTGAGGAATCCCCCATGTCATTATGATGTGATGCTCCAAGAACATTAACTCCCACACCCTAGAAGTTTTTCTTAGCCATTTTTAATGATCATGTGATCAGAGTCAGTTTCCTCAGGGGCTGTACTGAAGGAGGAATTTTAAATTGTTCCTTTCTACATGAAATAAGCAAAAAGTATCCATTCCCACTCTCCTTCCTCCCTGCCTACATGCCCTGCCTAGCAGAGTCCCTAATTTTTCAAATGATTGGCAGAGATACAGGCACCTCTCATCTCATTAAATAAAGCTATGTTATCTTCTTTACATTTATTTTATTTATTTTCTTTTTTTATTTTTTAATCCATCCTGCATAATTGCTAATGCTTATTGAGTGCTTGTTGTTCTGGACCGGTTCTGCGCATTTAATCTTCACACAGTGTTATGAAGTTGGTCCTTTTATCATTTTCATTTTACTGAGGCACAGTGAGGTCAAGTCTTTTGTCACTATAGTGAGCAGTGGAGAGATTATTCAAAGCCAGACAGTCTGACTTCAAAGCCCATGCTTCCCCTACAATGCTATACTGTTTCTTGTTAGTTTATTGAGCGAAATGGATTGAATATTACTGTTATGGGATAAGCATTACAGACATAGTAATGCATGCAAAAGAGAAAGTCCCTGTTTTCATTGGCCTGGTTGGGGGAGAAGAGGGAAGTACAGAGACTAGGAAAGCTGATAATAAACAGATAAGTAATAAAACAATAAACAACGTCATAATGTAAAAAGTGCTATGAAAGAAATTATTGAGTATAGTTCTACTAGATATGGTGGTCAGGGAAGAATTATCTTAAGAAAGTAACACTGAGCTGTTACTTAAAGAATAATACTGACTCAGACATGCAAAAAGATAGGAGAAGAGCATTCCAGATACAGGGAGAAGTCCTGGAAATAAAAAGGGTTTTCAGTGTTAAAGAATGTCAGGTTGTGTGACTAGTGGAGTAATCAGAGTGAGAATGCTGTGAAAGGTGGGAGTGGCAAGTAAATGTCAGATCATGCAGGGCTGTGAGTTCAGGGTAAAGAGGGAAACTGATTCTGACATGGCCTTGTTTTAAGCAGGGTTATGACATGATCTGATATATATTTAAAAATTATTTTGGCTACTGTGTGTGGGAGATTTATTTCAAGAAAATCAAATGAGAAAAGGGGCAACCATAACTTACAAATTTTTTAAATGAAAGGTATTAAGTTTGGGGGGATTTGGGAAACTTGATTAACCAATTGATAAATAGGATATTTTTGCTAGGAACTATTCATTAGCATTGCCGAATATTATAAAACAAGACAAAGGGAAATGATGTGGTTGATTAAGATAATGTTTTTTATTTCTATAATAATCTGATTATTTTCTAAGTTATTTTCTTTGTCCTGATATCTCACAGACACGGGATCAGATGATCTTCCCAAGATGCTTAGGCTCCATAAATTCATAAAATCCCTGAAAATTCTCCATAAATCTATGGCTATAATTTTCCAGAAAAGATGCTTCCCAAAACCCAGGTGGACACAGTTTGCATCCTTTCTGAGAATTTAGTTTTAAACAATTTGAATTTGATTTGTCTCACTGACCAACTATTTATTGTGCACGTTTAAAAAAAAAAGTATCAAGTTTTTAGACAACACCCATATGTATTGGCTATACCATCTACTTTTAAGTAATTTTAAATATATATCTTCCTCCAGAAAATGATTGAAAACCTATAATATGAAAAACATTGTGATAATATTGTGGTCATCAAAATGAATAGCACACAATTTCCACTTTAAACAATTTTATAGCCAAGTACAAAGAGGCATAATAAAAATAACATAAAATACCTACTGCAATAGATAAGAAAAAAGAAGTGATTGCTTTCCATTGAGATCATCAGGGAGAATGTCATAGTAAAAGTATCCATCTTGAAATAAAGTCCAAGCTGTACCTTCTAATAGGCAGGTAGATTATTTTCAGAAATATTTTCAGGGAAGAGGAGTGTCATACCAGTCAGAGGGAAACAGGGAAGAAGGGAAAGCCAATTCCAGAGTACATTCTTGAAATGATCACTGCTGATGGCAAGTTGACTGGATTCTGCCTGGATCTTGTGGAGTCATGAATACTGTGTCCCAGAACTGCCGGTTTGAGGGACAAAATAAATCAGAACTTAATAAGAACTCTTTTTCATTAATCAATTATTGCCCACTGGTGCATTAACTCCTTCGTACTTCCAGGTTGCACATGAGCGAGTGAACAAATTGGTTACTTCAGGTGTTCTGTGTCAGAGAAGCTTGCACAGAAAGTATAAGACAGCTGGTGCAGCTAAGGGAGGTGCTATCAGGTTCCATCTGTGTGAAGCTAGTTGCCATGGCAATGGCTGAAGTAAAAGGTGGGCTAAGAGCATGTGAGGGGACAGGAGGAGGGGGGCAAACTATTCTTAACACAGAAAACCTTAACAGGTGGGAACATTTGAGCTAGATCTCAGAGATGTATCAGGATTTTTATCCACAAAGATTAACAAGAAGAAGTAAGATAAGAAAATTATTTAGAAATATATTGCAGGCATAGATAATCTAATAAGAATGTGGATTTGAGAGAGCACAGAGTGCATCGAAGTGTCAGTATTGGTAGGCAAGAACATAGTGTATTAGTAAGAGCATTATGACAGATAAGAGTGGATATATCTTTTGGGTTGAAGAAGGATCTTAATGGTGGACTCTGGAATGGACCATTGTTGTCCAGTGGTTGGAAGTCACTGACCTGGTCTGACTACATGCTAACCCACGGGTTTGGGAGACCACTATAAAAATAATTTACATTCTTTTAGCAGAGAACTAGTTCCCTGCAGAAAGCTGTTATAGTTTTAAAATATATCCACAAATTCTTTAATAGTACTCCCTTCAAGAGGTGTAGCTTAATTCCATGTCTGTTAACTGTGAGCTGGACTTAGTAACTTGCCTCTGACACATAGAATACAGTAAGGAGTTACAGCCAGTGACAATTCTAAGACTAGGTCATACAAAGTATGCAGCTTCTCTATGTTATCTTTCTCCTAATGCTATAAGGACATTCTATACGTCTTATGGCACATATAGAGAAGCTCATATGGTAAGGAATCAAGACCTCTGACAAACAACCGGTGAGGAACTGAGGCTTTTTGCAAAAAGCCATGTGAATGAGCTTGGCAGTGGATCTTCCAGCTCCAGCAAAGCCTTCAGGTTACAAGGTCCCAGGCTGAAATCTTGATTGCAACCTCATGAATAACTCTGAGCCAAAACCACTCCATGGGCTACTCCCCAATTCTTGATTTACAGAAGTGCTGTGATAACAAAAGTTTTTGTTTTAAGCAGTAAATTTTGGGGTAATTTTTTACACAACCCTTGGTAACTAATACAGAAAAAGTACTGGACAGAAAAATGTATAACTGGTTTAAATTATAAGTGCCTAATTTAGGGCAAAAATGATGGACAGAGAGGAAATAGATATGCACGAGAGACTAAAGGAGCCTAATGTGTGAAGAGTAACAAAAGAAAGGAAGACAATTCGAGAGCACAGGCATTAACAGAATTCTACCACACCACTCAATAAAATTGAGTGTTAACATTTCATTTTTTCATCATAGTGAATCATCCATCCCAGAGTTACATGCTCTTGAAGGTAGCTCATGTTACACAAAGGAGTCAATTCCAGATTTGGTCTAGAGAATACATGGATAACAGCATAATGATAACATGTGAGCCATTGCTTGTCTGAGTCTCTTAATTCAAAATAAGTTAGTGGAAATTCCAGAATAAATAAGTAGATAACTTATATGATTTTGACGTGTTCCTACTCAAATCTCATCTTGAATCGTAGTTCCCATAATCCCCACATGTCAAGGGTGAGACCAGGTGAAGATAATTGAATCAAGGGGATGGTTTCCCCTATATTGTTCTTGTAATAGTGAGTGAGTTCTCACGTGATTGTGTTGTTTTATAAGGTGCTTCCCCCTTTGCTCTGCACTTCTCCTTTTCTCTCCTGCTGCCAAGTGAAGAAGGATGTGTTTGCTTCCCCTTCTGCCATGACTGCAAGTTTCCTCAGGCCTCCCCCAAACATGCTGAACTGTGAGTCAATTAAACCTCTTTCCTTTATAAATTATCCAGTCTTAGATGTTTCTTCACAGCAGCATGAGAACGGACTAATACCATAACAAATATCAAGCTCAAATTGATTTCATCCTAATTCTAAACCTTCTTGCTTAACTGTAATGCAGCCAATATCTTAACATCTATTAATGTGCCTTTTTCTTTTCCAGTAATGTGTTCATTTTAGTCTCGATAGTCAACTAGAAGCAAGGCATCCCTTTGGGTTTGTCCACTTAGACTAACAGTTGATGCAGCAGGAATGAAAAGGAAATAAAAGAGTTAACACCATATTCAGTTAGTGATATTCAAAAGATAATTTTGCTGAAAAATTATCTAGATATCTAAGCTTCTCTAGCCACTTGTTATTTTCCAAAATTTTTTAGCGTATGAAGAAATAAGCCTAATAGACTCCAGCCGTAGTTTTTCTTTCACAATTCAGAGAAGATATTCCATCCGCCTATGATAATTAGGTCATATACATCTTGCTCTCTTAGGGTACATTAGATCAGGTAGTTTCAAATCCAAAGCTCCATTCTCTTCTTTCTATTTGAGAGCCAAATTTTAAGGGGAAAGTTTTGAGGAACATTCAGATTCATAAATTAGAGCTTGAGAACATTGTGGCAAGTGGCATAGTTGCTTGGTAATCGTGTGATGGAAGCTGCCAACCCCTGGGTAAATTCTAAGGATTCAATGTGCCAGCATGGTATAAAAGTACTGGTCATTTTAATAATAGCTATTATGACTAGGGTGAGATGGTATCTTATTATGGTTTTGATTTGCATTTCTTTAATGATTAGTGATGTTGAACATTTTTTCATGTCTATTGGCTGCATATGTCTTCTTTTGAGAAGTGTCTGCTCATATTCTTTGCCCATTTTTTAAATTGGGATTGTTTGTTTTTTTCTTTGTTGGTTTGTTTAAGTTCCTTACAGATAGCAGATGTTGGCAAGGTTGTAGAGAAAAGGGAACATTTTTACACTACTGGTGTAAATATAAATTAGTTCAGGTACTGTGGAAAGCAGTTTGGAAATTTTTGAAAAAACTTAAAATAGAACTACCATTTGACCCAGCAATCCCATTCCACTGGGTATACACCCAAAGGAATATAAATCATTCTACCAAAAAGATACATGCATTCATATGTTCATCTCAGCACTACTCACAATACCAAAGACATGGAATCAACCTAGATGTCCAACAATAATGGACTGGATAAAGAAAATGTGAGGACAAAGAGGGGAACAATGGACACTGGGACCTTTTTGAGGGTGGAGGATGGGAGGAGGGTGAAGGCCCTCGGCTGATGTGAGATTGCAGAAATCATTGCCCTTTCTCAAAATGGAAGGATGGAAATCTGCAATAAAATCTTTTTATCTAAAGAAATAAAATTACCTAAAGCATAGCTTAATGTTATTGACTCAAAATAAGATTATTGAATTAGGTAAATTTAGTTTTCTTTTTTTCAGCTACCCAGTGGGGTAGGGCTTCTGGGGAAAAACTGATCAGATACAGAGTAAAGAATCTGTGCACTCTTTATTCTGCTGAACTGAAGTGGAGGTAAGTTAGTGACCCTGTTGAGTATGTTTATCTCCTGTGGATGTGACTTATGTACTAAATTTTTCTGATTCCAGGAAAACATACATAAAATCTGTTTATCTGTTATATGTTTTAGTTACATTGTTTTGTAATAGAATGAGACTAGGTGACGGGGAAGCCACATAATTTTTGATCTTGGATCCTACTACCATAATTGTGTAAACACATCCTTAGTAAGTTTTCAGACTTACTGACAGTGTTGTGATTTTTTACACTTTAGTGTGTTTATATTACAGGAACATAAGAGGCAATTTTTCTTATTGGGTGATGGCTCTATTTTTTTTTGGTTTAAAATGTGCTTTTATGAGTGAATAGCTTTATTTACCACCTTCTGAATGCATATTCACGAAGATAATTTATTTTTATTACAAAATTTTCATGTGTTAAGGCCTTTCATATTTTCAGTTAGCTTTGCATTTTCTGAGCCATAAGATATATCAACTTTAATCCTTTCTTATCTTTCTTTTTTAGTTTTTTAAGTAGCTATTAAGGGATTTTTTTAAAAACAAATTAACTTTCCTAAGGCTGTATATATTCAGCCTATTAGAATTTGCATCAAAAGTTTATAATGAAAACCATTCAAATAATTCAATGATGAAGCATTTTTACAGAATTAAAATAACTACTTAGTTCCTGATAAGACTTATTACATGAGCAGGAGCACTAAGAAAGGCAGAAAAAAACTATGTAAATAAATAGGTGATTCCTGTTGTAAATGTCAGTTGCCTGATCTTACCACCCTTTCTACCCCAAAGTAATTAAATTTAACTACTTTTCTGTATTTACCAAAACCTTGAAACCTACAATGTTAACATTATTTCGTCTGTTATTTCTCCAGCATTCCACCAAACACTTCTCTGAATACAATTTCCCTGTTTTCAACCTCCCACTCATTCCTTTCTACTAAACCTATTACCACCATCATTACTTTTACATACTTCTTTTAAATCCTCCCTATATTATTACTGTTCTCATTCACTTGCTTTACCACTAAGCCAGAGCTTCACTGCTTTTCATTTTTTGAAGATGGCTTTGCGACCTACTTTAATATGAAGGCTCAAACTAACTGGTAAGAGCTTATTCAATTTTTCCTCTCTACACTTAAAATAAATCCTGCTAGCTAAGTCTCCCTTTCCTCTTTCCTTCTTAATCCAACTCCTTTCAACCTCCGTCACAAAATTTTCCATCAGCTATATCTATTTTGTCTTGTATCATCAACACTGTTTCAACTGAAAATGCTTAGATCTTTGCACTTGAGAAGAAAAAACTAATCCTTTCAATCTTGTCATCCCTTCAAATTACTACATATATGTCTTCATCTCCCATTCGCTCACCCAATCCTAAACCCGTTACATTCTGTCTTCTATCCATACCACATTAATACAGGATTTTGCGTATGAATTTCATAGCACATGTTTTATGTTTTTAGTTTCTTTCTCCTTGTTCTGTTTATAAGCAACTGTAGATATTTTTCATTATGCCTTTCTTGAAATACTTTTCTTCCTTACTTCTCTCTTACCACCCTTCCTCTATGTTGGCTGGCTCAGCTTTGATTTTACTTATTTGCATGTCAAATTTACTTCTGAATTTTATTTCAAGCTTTCTTTTACTCCCATAATGTCAACCCCTTCACTGATTACTTTCCAAGGTGTCTATAACCACCTCAAAGCAAATGACTTTAAAATCCATATATTCAATTCTAACAGCTCACATAAAATATATGCCACATTTTTTCTAACATCAACTGTACAATTCCAACTTGGTACTTGATATCGTTGGAATGTTTGTCCCCTCCAGATCTCATGTTGAGATGTAATCCCCAGTGTTGGAGGTGGGGCCTGGTGGGAGGTTTTTTTGTCATGGGGGTAGATCCCTCATGTCTTAGTGCTGTCCTCACCGTATTGAGTGAGTTCTCACAAGATCTGGCCATTTAAAAGTGTGTGGTACCTCTCCCACACTCTCTCTTGGTCCTGCTCTACCATGGGAGACACCTGCTCCCCTTTTGCCTTTGCCATGATTACAATCTTCATGAGGCCTCCCCAGAAGCCAAGCAGATAACAGTGCCATGCTTTCTGTAAAGCCTGCAGAACTGTGAGCCAATTAAACCTCTTTTTATTAAAAAATTACCCAGTCTTAGGTACTTCTTTATAGCAGCAGAAGAACAGCCTAATACAGTACTATACCAGTACTTCCAATTCAGCATATGCAAAATTAGACATATCTCTACACATTCAAGTCATTACATACTTTTTGTATCCTTTCTATTGTACTCATTCCTTGTTCTATGTTCTACCCTGGAAACTCCAGTCTTTAGTTTATCCATCTACAGTATCTCTCAGTCCCTTTCCTTCTTTCTCCATGTTGCTGTTGCTAGAGTTCTGGTTATACTTACTAATGGAAAATTTTGAACTCTAACAGTATTTAAATTCTCTTTTTCCCCTTTCGAGGAAAGAAAGCCTCATAGGCGTCACAGTGAAGAACATTTTGAGGCCATGATGCTGAGGAATAAGAGCTTTTGTGGTGAGTATAAAAATGATTCAAAACTCTTGCTGTTACAAAATTTGTCCTTTTCTCTCTGGATTTGTTTGTGTGTTTATCCTATTTTTGTTTATTCTCTTTCCTCCTCCTTTTGTCCTTGCTTCTGTCTCTCTCTTCCTTCCTCATTCCCTCTTTTCTTTTTTTGTGTTTTGAGGTAATATCTCTGATTCCTTTTTAGTAAAACTTACCCTCACTCTCACACCAAACTTTAAAAAGCAAAATAGATCTCCTTGAAGAGGTCCTTCACATCCCTTGTAAGTTGGATTCCTAGGTATTTTATTCTCTTTGAAGCAATTGTGAATGGGAGTTCACTCATGATTTGGCTCTCTGTTTGTCTGTTATTGGTGTATAAGAATGCTTGTGATTTTTGTACATTGATTTTGTATCCTGAGACTTTGCTGAAGTTGCTTATCAGCTTAAGGAGATTTTGGGCTGAGACAATGGGGTTTTCTAGATATACAATCATGTCGTCTGCAAACAGGGACAATTTGACTTCCTCTTTTCCTAATTGAATACCCTTTATTTCCTTCTCCTGCCTAATTGCCCTGGCCAGAACTTCCAACACTATGTTGAATAGGAGTGGTGAGAGAGGTCATCCCTGTCTTGTGCCAGTTTTCAAAGGGAATGCTTCCAGTTTTTGCCCATTCAGTATGATATTGGCTGTGGGTTTGTCATAGATAGCTCTTATTATTTTGAAATACGTCCCATCAATACCTAATTTATTGAGAGTTTTTAGCATGAAGGGTTGTTGAATTTTGTCAAAGGTTTTTCTGCATCTATTGAGATAATCATGTGGTTTTTGTCTTTGGCTCTGTTTATATGCTGGATTACATTTATTGATTTGCGTATATTGAACCAGCCTTGCATCCCAGGGATGAAGCCCACTTGATCATGGTGGATAAGCTTTTTGATGTGCTGCTGGATTCGTTTTGCCAGTATTTTATTGAGGATTTTTGCATCAATGTTCATCAAGGATATTGGTCTAAAATTCTCTTTTTTGGTTGTGTCTCTGCCCGGCTTTGGTATCAGAATGATGCTGGCCTCATAAAATGAGTTAGGGAGGATTCCCTCTTTTTCTATTGATTGGAATAGTTTCAGAAGGAATGGTACCAGTTCCTCTTCATACTGCTCAAGGAAATAAAAGAGGATACAAACAAATGGAAGAAAATTCCAAGCTCATGGGTAGGAAGAATCAATATCGTGAAAATGGCCATACTGCCCAAGGTAATTTACAGATTCAATGCCATCCCCATCAAGCTACCAATGATTTTCTTCACAGAATTGGAAAAAACTACTTTAAAGTTCATATGGAACCAAAAAAGAGCCCGCATCGCCAAGTCAATCCTAAGCCAAAAGAACAAAGCTGGAGGCATCACACTACCTGACTTCAAACTATACTACAAGGCTACAGTAACCAAAACAGCATGGTACTGGTACCAAAACAGAGATATAGATCAATGGAACAGAACAGAGCCCTCAGAAATAATGCCACATATCTACAACTATCTGATCTTTGACAAACCTGAGAAAAACAAGCAATGGGGAAAGGATTCCCTATTTAATAAATGGTGCTGGGATAACTGGCTAGCCATATGTAGAAAGCTGAAACTGGATCCCTTCCTTACACCTTATACAAAAATCAATTCAAGATGGATTAAAGATTTAAACATTAGACCTAAAACCATAAAAACCCTAGAAGAAAACCTAGGCATTACCATTCAGGACATAGGCATGGGCAAGTACTTCATGTCCAAAACACCAAAAGCAATGGCAACAAAAGACAAAATTGACAAATGGGATCTAATTAAACTAAAGAGCTTCTGCACAGCAAAAGAAACTACCATCAGAGTGAACAAGCAACCTACAAAATGGGAGAAAATTTTCGCAACCTACTCATCTGACAAAGGGCTAATATCCAGAATCTACAATGAACTCAAACAAATTTACAAGAAAAAAACAAACAACCCCATCAAAAAGTGGGCGAAGGACATGAACAGACACTTCTCAAAAGAAGACATTTATGCAGCCAAAAAACACATGAAAAAATGCTCATCATCACTGGCCATCAGAGAAATGCAAATCAAAACCACAATGAGATACCATCTCACACCAGTTAGAATGGCGATCATTAAAAAGTCAGGAAACAACAGGTGCTGGAGAGGATGTGGAGAAATAGGAACACTTTTACACTGTTGGTGGGACTGTAAACTAGTTCAATCATTGTGGAAGTCAGTGTGGCGATTCCTCAGGGATCTAGAACTGGAAATACCATTTGACCCAGCCATCCCATTACTGGGTATATACCCAAATGACTATAAATCATGCTGCTATAAAGACACATGCACACGTATGTTTATTGCGGCATTATTCACAATAGCAAAGACTTGGAACCAACCCAAATGTCCAACAATGATAGACTAGATTAAGAAAATGTGGCACATATACACCATGGAATACTATGCAGCCATAAAAAAGGATGAGTTCATGTCCTTTGTAGCGACATGGATGAAATTGGAAATCATCATTCTCAGTAAACTATTGCAAGAACAAAAAACCAAACACCGCATATTCTCACTCATAGGTGGGAATTGAACAATGAGATCACATGGACACAGGAAGGGGAATATCACACTCTGGGGACTGTGGTGGGGTGGGGGGAGGGGGGAGGGATAGCATTGGGAGATATACCTAATGCTAGATGACAAGTTAGTGGGTGCAGCGCACCAGCATGGCACATGTATACATATGTAACTAACCTGCACAATGTGCACATGTACCCTGAAACTTAAAGTATAATAAAAAAAAAAAAAAGAAAAACAAAAAAGAAAAACAAAACAAAACAAAAAAAAAATAAAAAGCAAAATAGAAATGAACAAGAGGGAGTTCATGAAGAGAAGGGATATGGTCTAGGTTGCATAAAGTCTATCTAGTATAAAATAGTCTTATATGGGAGATTGCGGCCAAATTCCAGCTAGTACTAAAGAATGATTTCTCTTTTCTCTTTCTTCTGTTTATCTTTTTTGGGGTCTAGCAGAAGGCCCATTCATGGTGAGAAGTGGAGAATATAAGGATCATAATCTCTTTCACTGATTGTGACTTCCAGAGAATCCTTTGTTTCTTTAATTTATGAAACTCATCATACTTGCAATTATTTGGTTAATGTCATTATTTCCTGGCAGAAAGTAAATTTGGGAAAGCCAAAGTTCCATTTTTAGTTGCTTTTTTTAATTGCATATCTCCTAATGCTGGCCATTATGCATGACATAAAGAAGATAATAAATGTTGTGTAAGTGAATGAATGGATAGACGGATGACCAATAGTGTTTGTCTCTCACTTGATTTACTATAATATCCACCATTTCCTTTAGATACCAAGTTTCTATTGGTATGGCTCCCAGATTCATCCCCTAAAGTACTGATTTCGTTATGTCCCTTCATCGTCATTGATAGGATAGATACAGATTCAGCATGCTAGTCGAGATTTGTCACTCTTTGGCCTTAACCTTTCTTCACAACCCAATTTACTCCTACTAGCCTAGCCTTATCCAGTGCTTCCTCTAAACTTGTTTACTGTTTTTTCAATAAAACTACTCTCCAACCATTCCCTTCTTCTCACTGCTGTTCCTGCTATCGAGAATGCAGCCATTTGAAATCATCTTCATTTTTCAGAGTCTTACTCAACTGTTAAACTCAGTAAGAAATCTGCACTGATTTATTCCAATTTCAGTTTGCTTAATTTTTCTCAAAAAATTAGCATACCTTCACTTGTTTTATAATTTTCTATGTCTTTTGGATCTCATAAAATCCTGTTATGTGAACAAATAGAAATTGTGTTTCTCATTTATCTCTTCCCAGATTATAAGATTTGTAAAGCTGTTGTCTATAGTTCCTTTATTCTTATTTCCACTTTGAATTATTTTAGACCTGGGAAACACTCGAGAATGTAGTAACTGAAAGAATGAATTTAGTAAAGACTCCATTATCAAAAATGCCCCAGAGATCCTCCTGGTTCAAGAGTGATCCTCCCACCTCACTCTCCCAAGTAGCTGGGAATACAGGTGCAAACCCTCACACTTGGCTAATCTTTTAATTTTTTGTAGAGAAGAGGTCTTTCCATATTGCTTTGACTGGTCTAAAATCCCTGGCCTCAAGTAGTCCTACTTCAGCCTTTTCAGTTGCTAGTATTAGAAGCCTGAGCCTCACCCTCCTTTAAGCTGTGAGAATTTTTGTTAATATTTCAAGGAAGCTTTCCTACCTCCATGATAATTGTTTTCAAGGCCTCTTAGAGTCTTATCACATGTGACAGCTTTATGGTTAAATGCTCAGTGATAATCCTCTCCGCAAATTCTGGTGGTCTCTCTCTGTGTTTGACCCCTTCAATTCTGCCCTGTACACTTCAGCTACCTTAGCTTCCCTGATCTCTGATTGCTGAGTCACTAACTGAGCAAGAATGCCATCCTTATATGTGTTTCTTCTCCTTATTTTCTACTCAGCAATGTGCATCCAGGCAGAAAGCCGGCACAATTATACGTATATTTGCTACTTTCTTTATGGGCAAATATTCCACCTCAATCTATTGTCTAACATCTGAACACAGTTGCTTCATAAATGTTTTCCATTTATCTAGCTTTTTGGGGGTTTTTGTTGTTTTTGTTGTTGTTGTTTGTAGGAAGAATAATTTGGTACCAGTAATTCCATCATGCCCAGAAATGGAATTACTCAGATACAATTTTTATTCACACTTTACAGATGAGAAACCTGAGGCTCAGATAATTAAATAATTTGCCTCAAGTTACATAGATATTGAATGCAGAGCCTAAATTCAAACATTAATCTCTTTGACATGAAACCTATTATCAATCCATGGTACTGAGAGGTGACAATGTGCTGGCGGCCCTCGCTTGCTCTTGGCACCTTCTTGGACTTGGCGCCCACTCTGGCTGTGCTTGAGGAGCCCTTAACAGCCGGCCGCTGCACTGTGGGAGCCCCTCTCTGGGCTGGCCGAGGCCGGAGCCGGCTCCCTCAGCTTGTGGGGAGGTGTGGACAGAGAGGCGCGGGCGGGAACCAGGGCTGCGCACGGTGCTTGCGGGCCAGCGCCGAGTTCCGAGTGGGCGTGGGCTCAGCAGCGGGCACTCAGAGCAGCCATCCAACGCCCCCAGCCCTGGGCAGTGAGGAGCTTAGCACCCAGACCAGCAGCTGTGGAGGGTGCACTGGGTTCCCCAGCAGTGCCTGCCTGCCGGTACTGTGCTGGAATTCTCGTGGGGCCTCAGCTGCCTCCCTGTGGGGCTGGGCTCTGGACCTGCAGCCTGCCATACCTGAGACTCCTCCCCGACCCCATGGGCTCCTGCTCGGCCGGAGCCTCCCCGACTAGCGCCACCCCCTGCTCCACGGTGCCCGGTCCCATCGACGGCCCAAGGGCTGAGGAGTGTGGGCTCAGGGCACGGGACTGGTGGGCAGCTCCGCCTGGGCCATGGTGCAGGATCCACTAGGTGAAGCCAGCTGGGCTCCTGAGTCTAGTGGGGACTTGGAGAACTTTTATGTCTAGCTAAGGGATTGTAGATACACCACTCAGCACTCTGTGTCTGCCTCAAGGTTTGTAAATGCACCAATCAGCACTCTGTGTCTAGCTCAAGGTTTGTGAATGCACCAATCAGCACTCTGTATCTGGCTAATAAGGTGGGGACTTGGAGAACCTTTATGTCTAGCTAAGGGATTGTAAATACACCAGTCAGCACTCTGTGTCTAGCTCAAGGTTTATAAATACACCAATCAGCATGCTGTGTCTAGCTCAAGGTTTGTAAATGCACCAATCAGTGCTCTGTGTCTAGCTAATCTTAGTGGGGACTTGGAGAACTTTTGTGTCTAGCTCAGGGATTGTAAAGGCACCAATCAGCACCCTGTCAAAATGGACCAATCAGCTCTCTGTAAAACAGACCAATCAGCTCTCTGTAAAATGGGCCGATCAGGAGGGTGTGGGTGGGGACAGATAAGGGAATAAAAGCAGGCTGCAGGAGCCAGCAGTGGCAACTCACTGGGATCCCCTTCCGCAGTGTGGAAGCTTTGTTCTTTCGCTGTTTGTAATAAATCTTGCTGCTGCTCACTCTTTGGGTCCGCACTGCCTTTATGAGCTGTAACACTCACCACGAAGGTCTGCAGCTTCACTCCTGAGCTAGCCAGACCAAGAACCCATCAGAAGGAAGAAACTTCGAACACATCCGAACATCAGAAGGAACAAACTCGGGACGTGCCGCCTTTAAGAACTGTTAACACTCTCCTGGAGGGTCTGCGGCTTCCTTCTTTAACTCAGTGATACCAAGAACCCACCAATTCCGGACACAGTACTACACCTTTTCTCATGAACAAATAGGACTTTTCAGATTCACGGTCTATGGAACCTCAATATTAACTGTAGTAGCCGTGATAGTAGTAATAGCAATAGCAATAAGAAAATGGAAAATTTAATATGGCAATAATAATTTACAATTTACAAAGTAATTTTATGCATTTATCATTGAGTCTCATGAGCCTTCCAAATTTCCTCACTTTCTGCTTGTTCTTACTACTGCCCCACCTGTGCTCAGGAAAACTCTGTAACTTTTACTGTTTCCAAGAGAAGGTGCACACTCCCACATTAACGTGACACTTAGTTCCGCGACTGCTACGTGAGATGGGAGGGAGATCACTCTTTGGCAGAAAAGGAGATTCACTACTTGGCAGAAAAGTAGATTCCTGTATTTCTTAAGGGTAGAAATACTGTAGCTTAGATCAAAACAATCTGATTTTAGCGTACTTGATGGCTTCTGAAAGCTGACGTATAGCATGGTGGATTTTACAGACTTACAGAATTTTGTTTTAAAAGATGGTTTATTTGTGCTTTTCTCCTAGTTGGTTCAATAATCACATTATTGAATTTAAAAAAAAGCTGAAATAATATAAAATAGGAAAGTATCCAAGGCTTTGGTGATTTGAGATTATGCCCATAGAATCAAACGTTGAGCATTCTAGATCCAGAAATCTAGGGTAGAATTGTATTAACATGAAGCTGTAACGAATATGAAAATTACTGTTCCATTTTGTGTTTTAAATTACGTTATTTTAAAGCTTCTCAATCACATACATTGTATCATCCAAACACATCATTCTTTTGACATTACTGTTTCTAAAGGAAAACAACAGAAAAAGAGAACACTAAAATATCAGTAATGTAAGTAGTAAAGCAAAATATTATCATATTGGCTGAACAGACAATGATTATTTTAAAATGCAGGCCTTTGAAGGGAGAAGGTATATTAAACTTAAATTTCTGTTCTAGTCACAAAAGACCACAATGATTGCTCTTACTGTTCTCTTGTTGACCTTTAGTTTATAATATAATATGTCCCTTAAGATAAGCCTTATTAATCTTCCTTTTCTTTTGTGAATGCAACATAATTAAAAAAAATTTGTGGCCTCCTGGCTGGGAGTGGTGGCTCATGCCTGTAATCCCAGCACTTTGGGAGGCCGAGGTGGGAGGATCATGAGATCAGGAGTTCGAAACCAGCCTAACCAACATGGTGAAACCCTGTTTCTACTAAAAATACAAAAATTAGCTGGGCATGGTGGCACATACCTGTAATCCCAGCTACTCAGGAGGCTGAGTCAGGAGAATTGCTTGAACCCAGGAGGTGGAGGTTGCAGTGAGGCGAGATTGTACCACTGCACTCTAGCCTGGGTGACAGAGAAAGACTCCGTCTCAAAATATATATATATATGGTCTCCAGAAAAGTAAATAAAGCCTTCGTTTTGACCCCTCATAAGAGGCTCTCATTTTGAACCAATTATTACTCTTACTATATAGGTAATTGTGAACCTCTTACATTGCATGGCATATTTTCAGGAATAAAAAGCATGTGAATTTTTCCAGGAAGTGCAATTTTACTACTTACTTTAGGGGGTCCATGTACCCCCCAAATGCTAAGCACTTGGTTCTAATAGTAAGACATGAGGTAATATAAAGGGAAAAACTTTAAGAGTCACAGTTATAGATGCAAATTTCTGGCTTCATAACTTACTAGTTTTATGATCTGACTTTAATATCCTTATGTACTTGAAAATTACATGAAAACCTAGAGCATGGGTTGTAGAAGGGTAAAGATAATCAGTTTTAATATAGGCTCAATTTTCATCTCTCATGCTGCTTTAATTATGGTCGTACTTCACCCATCAGATAGACTTGAATTTTTAGACCATGAACTGACACATCAGCTGAACTGAGCTCACCATAGGACAAATGTGTATGTCACAGAGATATCTTCAAAATACAAACATAGCATAGAAAAAGCATCATAATTATAATGTGGCTAATTGTTTTGTTTGTTAATTTGTTTTTGTTTTGTTTTCTAAAAGGACTCTTCTCATAATTATGAACCTTTAGAAGTCTTATATACTAATGATATCTCCTGGGGTGCATTATAGGAGGGAAATTCCCTCACTGTGGTAGCAGAGCCTGGCTGCATCCTCCCTGTCCTCTTGACAACTTGCATCATGCTTGTGTTGAGAGAGGTGTTGTCTCATTTATTCTATGCTCTCACTTGCTCCTAAACTAACATTTCTGCCATGGTTTTTTTTGTTTGTTTTAACTAATTTAATATTGAAATTGTCAATGTAAGACATCCCAGAAGTCATTATTTTCAGTCCTAAAAGACTATCTTTGCTCTTGTGAAGTCAGGAAGCCAAAGAGCCTCTTGCTGGAACTAATGCTTGTACTAGTTTTAAAAAATTAAAAGAATAAAATGATGCCAAAAAAACACAGATTTATTATGACAAATAAATATAAGGAAAATGAGGAAAGCAATAAGAAGTGAGCCTGTATTTGTTGTAGGACTCTGACTTAGATATAGTCTAGCCCATGTACCATTTTTTAATTTTTTTGTTCATTGTAGCATTCTACAGCTGTATCCATCCTGTCCTTTTTTTTTCTAGATCATTCCCTCCTCTTCCCAGTATGCCCTTGAGTCCATCCTCCTTGTAAAATAGCACTGTCCAAGTTAAGTGATTGCACATGACCAATTGACATTATGGTTTGCACATCATTTTCTGTATTGGAGGAATTTCCATAAAAATCTCAGACTACCTCAGTATGTAAAAAACTTTTTGACATATAAACACACGGTGCTACCACTGTGAAATATAAACACAAGTTGCTACTAATATTTGGGCAACTCTGATTGTCAGTCACTAGAGTGTATCTCTTCATGTAGTATCAAAGGCCAATATTGAAAGAACAGTTAAAATGGAAAACACTGTCCATTTCACCCTAGATTGCTAGAAAAACACCACAGACCGTGTTGCATGAAAATTTTCATTGAATGATGCTGATTTTTCTCTCTTGCATTAATTTCAGTTCCACTTGCCTGGACTGCTTTGATAAAAGCAATAGAAAGCAAAAGCAATGCTAACGCACATCTTTTCTGGAGCATAAAATTTACTGTGCTCTTGAGAACATAATTCTTGAGTAAAGAATATGTTGTAAAAAATAACATCCTGAGCCAAATTAAAAATGCATGTCCTTTTATGTTATGATGAACTAGTTTAATGTTTTTAAAAAATCATGATCCTAATTCTAATGCAATTGTAGACTACAATGCCTTTACTTAGCCCAGTTTAATGGTTATTTAATCTTATTTCTGAAATTCATGTTATCAATATATATTTTAACTACACATAGAAGAACATTTGAATCTAAAGGCTGAATTATATGTCTTTGTACAATGTTAAGCTAATGAATCAAGTAATAATGTTTTTATTTTGGCTAACTCTATTGATATATGGGAAAGTTACCCCAAATGGCATAGGTTGTAGCTATAAGTAATGGTCTATTTTATTTTATTTTTCTTATAAGTATTTGAAGATTTAAATTTTTTTTGAAATATAACTCTGATGAAAATAACCATCATCAAAGAACAGATTTGTTTTGTCTTGTGCATATAATTATGTTTTCAGGTGTTCTATTATTCTTATCCAAATATACTCCTGTATTAGTCTGTCTTCACACTGCTGATAAAGACACTTCTGAGACTGGGAAGAAAAAGAGGTTTAATTGGACTTACAGTTCCACATGGCTGGGGAGGCCTTAGAATCATGGCGGGAGGCAAAAGGCACTTACATGGTGGCGGCAAAAGGCACTTAAATGGTGGCAGCAAAAGAAAATGAGGAAGAAGCAAAAGTGGAAATCCCTGATAAACCCATCACAGCTCATGAGAGTTATTCATTATCACAAGAATAGCATGGGAAAGACTGGCCCTCATGATTCTATTACCTCCCCCTGGGTCCCTTCCATAACACGTGGGAATTTTGGGAGATACAATTCAAGTTGAGATTTGGGTGGGGACACAGCCAAACCATATCAACTTTATAAGTCTCTCTGAATCAGAGGAATGATCTAATTTTGTGTAATAAGTAATAAGCATGCATCTTCTCTTTGAGAAATTAAGAAATAATTTGGTTTCATAAGATTGAAGAGCTATATTCAATGTTGGAGGTAATTTTACATCATTGTTGGAAGAAATTCAATCTGCTCTTTGTTAACAGAAGGCGTATATATTAAAATGGTTGTACACATAAGTCAGAGATACAAATAATAATGTAAAAATTATTATAAACCTTCTTTCATCCTCTTATCCATATAAGTAAATGAGCTCATTTCTATGAAATGTCAGAAGTTTGCTTTATAATTAATTTAAGAGAATGATGTGAAATAGAATAGAAATTTCAAATGATAGTATGCAAAACTTTTGTATCTCTTCCTACTTGCTTTCTATAGGCAGACCTAAAAGTAGAACACTTGATATGCCAGAACTGAAAAGTGGCTTGAAAAACAGTATGTGGCACTGATAGTTTTACAGTAGGAGTGTAACACTCATTTAAAAAGGGAGAAGGTAGATTAAGCATATGTGGTTTTTTCTTTACTTCTGTGAAACAGTCAGAATAACATGTGGTAATTAAGTAGTCAATATTGTACAAATTTTAAAATTAGTGAATTTGTTAATTTGCTCAATGAATATTTTTGAGAAACTGCTACTGTGTGCTGTGTATTTTTCCAGGAGCTACATCTGTGAATGGCAATGTTTGGTTTCTATTCTCAAGTAGCCTACATATTTGTGCTAGGGAACAGTAAAATACAAAGATCATTACCATACAAAGAGTACTTAGTGCTATAAATCAACTAAGAAAAAGGTGACCCAGAGCCATGGCAGGGTCCTGGAGGCAGGGAATAAAATGTGGGATGTGGCTGTCAAATGCAGTCATAAAATCAGAAAAGCTGTGAACACTTGAAAAAGGCAATAAATATTTGAAAATAAATAATTTCCAATAGCAATTAATTTGGATAAGAAGTGAAACAGTCAGTATTAAGGGATAGATGGTAATTGGAGAGTGGCGCTAGGAACTATTTTAGGCCAGAGACTCTGTGAGGTCACTCTTTGACTTGAGATCTGAATGATGAGAAGAAACCATAATATCTGAGGGAAGGGCATATCAGATAGACCTAACAGCTAGTGCAAATGGTCTGAGTCAAAGGAGGAGATTAAGATGTTGTCCAAGAAACAAAAAGAAGGGCAGTAGAACAGTGTGCCTGGAGCAGAGTAAGCTCAGAGGATCTAGTATGACTTGAGCTCATACACATAGGCACAGACTCAAGTATTAATTTATCCTCATAGGCAATGTAAGAATCTTATTTTAATTATAATGAAAAATTTTAAGCTAGAGAATGAATCACATTTGAATTGTTCATTTCTATACCATCATATCTAGAAATAGCCTAGCCACAAAATAAGTATGACAATAAATATTTATTAGTGAGTAACTGATTGTTAT